>NC_000023.11:35595694-35746050 GCF_000001405.40 Homo sapiens | reverse complement strand
AAGGCCAACTGTAGTTCTACTCATTTTAATAGCTAAATTATTTTTCAGCCTGAAAACAAAATTGAGAAATTGTTATAAAAATGAAACTAAATTACTCCTTAAAATTTATGAAATATACTTTGAAAAATAAACCCGACATCTCTGTGTTATATCGAATAACCACAAATACGCTTCAAACAGAAAAAAGTTAAATTTTATTTAACAGAGTATCAATTTACATTTAGTTTTAATGATTTAAACTGATTTTAATTGGAACAAATCTACTACACTTTATTGTCAGCATTGCCGAGGGTCGCAATATTAAAAGCATGCTTCAGTTAATTTTTCTAAAAATACCAAGAGTTAAACTTGTGTTATTATTATATTTGTAACATTTGTTTTTGGCAAAAGCTCTTCAAATTTGTAAAAAAAAAAAAAAAATTGAAATAGAATTTCTGTAACTCACTTTGAAGTAAAATTCATATGCATCTTTCAGATAGGATTGCCACAACTGTAAACCATCTTATCCAATTATAGTCTATAAAAGAATGTGATTAGATTGTGAAAGCAAATCAGTAATCCATATACTACATTTAAATCTTATAAGATCAAAAAATAAACTTAAAAAAAAACCCAAATTGGGAAAAGCAAGGAACATACAACTGTCACTGATATTTTAAATTTAATTATAAATGTAATGAGTTTTATTATAGTCTGTCTTCTGAGAAGACATAAAAATAATAAAGGATGATACTTGTCATTTGAATTTACATTGAGTTAAAAATGAAAGGATATTCACCTACACTCATGCTCAGATCTCTACTCCTCTACACCATACATACTATAGAAAAGAGTTTCCTACAAAGGAGGCATGTAATCATTCACAGGCACAGTTGAGCACGAGTCCTACTCAGCATCTCAGTTTGTTCAGAATAGAAGAGACACTGTGTGGTGACCTTTTAAGGGAAAATAAAAACAGTGTTGTCTCAGAGCTATGCAGAAGATGGATCTTGCCTACCTCTACGGAATAACATGGCCTAAAACTAATCATTAGTGTAATAAATATTTTCTTCATTTTCATATTAGTAAATAGATTCTACATGTCCTTGGACAACACTAGAGATTCAGCATTAGCCTTGACATTGAAATAGGAGGTGATTGTGAAAGGCCATGGAGTAAGTTTCAGGTGCATAAGGAGAACCTCTCAAAACCTAGTAAGAGTTGGCTTTTGTGAGGGAAGGTGCAACTCAGCAGGCTGCTGGCGTTGAAGTCGTTCATTCGATAGAGTTCAGTGTGTGGTAGAATCTGAATGAGGCACTTTGTCAAAATTCTGGTCAAGATCAGACACTTCTCAAAGGCATGCTCACTCCCACCTCTGATCCATCTGATGAGAGCCTTGAAATGTATGCCTTATTTCTGAACTAACCCTACTAGGACAGATTGACCGGAGCAGAACCTGGCTTTTTCTCTAATGAAGTAAGCAAAGTATTTAGAGTGAGAGCCACGACATCATACATTCCATCTCCAGGCAGGGTGAACCACATGGTTGAAATTGGTTGGGTTGGTATAATTTTGAAGCTCATTCTTGGCTCTTAGAATCTCTTACAGGTGTTGTAATCTCTCCTGCTCCAGACTCTTAAAAACAAATCACATTTTCAAGTGTCTGGCATACTAGAACTTCTCCAGAGAACTTGTTCTTAGATTAAGCATGGAAGCTCAGAGTTGAAAAGGTTGAAGGTGCATTCAGATTTAGTGTTCTTATGCTCCTCAGGCTGGTGGTTTGAACCCATTCCACAGTCTTATCATCCTTGTGGTGTATTGATGCCATACTCACTTCATACTATGACATGCAGAGAGCTATAACAATTGGGAACAGGAGTTACAGGCCATATTAGCTCCTGCACACATAACCTTTCATACTGTGAGTCCATATCCAATCCCATGTGGCTGAAGCAAAACATATATTCTGCGTGATTGAATTCCACAGAAGAAAGGGCCTCGAAAGACTGCTGTGAGAAAAATGTAAGTGAGAGGTCATTGGTATATGCCAGGGTTAGACATCTTCATGGTTGCTCAACAGAAAGAATCGAGAAAGGCAGCCAACACAGCTTTTCCTTGAAGATTGTTATCTACTGTACAGTTCCTGAGCCATAGGTTCATTGAAATTTCTGTGAGAAAGTTTAGTTCTATGTCTCTCTTAGCAAAGGATCAGTCCACTGCTACAAACAGACTAGCTGAAGAGCCCTTCCTAATTGTTGAAGTTATTATGAGTAGGCGACCTTTTTTATTTTTTCTGGGAACTTGATGCCAAATCTCCCTTCCACTCATTCAAAGAAAGAACATGGATAAAATAGAGCATGTTCCTGGGAACACCGTGATTCCAGTAACAGACAAAGACTGTAATTTTCCCTTTGGGAACACATTCAATATGATACAGTTTCTTACAAACAGTAGCTAGAATGAGCTCATCACAAGTAATCTCTGTAATGTACAGCCCTTCTTTTAAACCAACTGGACTCTAACATGATTTTCAGCAACAGCTGTAAGAATTGCTTTAATAATAGCCAACATCCTGTCTTAGGCTTCCGGTGGAAAATACACAGATTGATTTTCAGTCTGTTTTTATGTAGGACAGATTTAAATCCTTCCAGAATCCTGGCCATCTTATTCTTTTCATTGTCATTTTCTGTTGGAACTAGTAGTAGAATTAGTAGAAGACCAACAGAACTGGCCTTCAAGGTACATGTAAGAGATAAGCTGTCACCCTGAATATACAAAAACTATCTTTGCTCATAGCATGTATAACATCTGAAGCTAAGACAGAGCTCATCAAAATATCTTTATCTCTAAGATACAAGATTGGCTCACAACAATGCCAGCTGGATGGATTTTCCTTCAGGCAAATTAAGCCTTAGACTTCTCAATTCTTGAACAAGTTGTTTGGCCTGCCTGGCTTTCTAAAGAGAGATTGCAATCCTTAAAGACTTGCCCAGGTAATAACTATAATGAGATTTCAAAAGTGGATCCAGCATTCTTGATTCTGTGTCAGAACTTCTCAAAATCTCAAACTCTTTGGTCTTCTTAGAAACAGTAGCTTGAAAACACTCCAGAAAATCTTTCTCATTGCTGATCTAATGCATGGTTTCTGCAATTTAAGTTTTCCAGAAGGCAACCTACTCTTAATGACAAAATCTCAAGCTCATTTTCACATTGTCTATTTTGAGCTGCTAAGCTATCCACAACAGAAAAAAGCCTTTCATTTTCACCAGTTAATTTATTTTCTTTTCTTCGAACCTCGCATTCCTCTTTGCAAAATAATACTTTCTTCTCAAGTTCAGATTTAATTTAGAAATCTCTTGCTGATACCCTAAAGTGGCAATTTTCCTAGCTTCATCGTATAAGGACCTCAAAGCTCACTTCTATTCGTTTGGAGAAGTGCTATGTGCATTCACAAAGTGTGTGTTGCTTTGAAGCCTTATCAATGGTATCCTCAAGCTAAGTTTTCATCTCTTTGCTGAACATCTAAGGTTTGGAGATTTACTATTCCATGGAGTCACTTTTCTGCATGGCCACTTTCATCTTTTCCTATTTGTCACTAAATGTTCAGGAAATTTTCTGTTTCTGTATTCCAAACATGCTTTAATCTCTGAGAATTCTTGCAGGGCTGGCTTTTATTACTGATGGGAAACTCTGTATTTTTGGCCTACAATTTTGTCCTCTCTGAAGTTTCAACCAGTTGCTTATAAAAATCTTTATTTTCCTGACTCATGATGCAGCACTGGTTTTCTAGTCCTCTCAAGTCTGGGTGTGGAATCATCATTCTTTTAGTAAAGTATCAATGTATCAAGTTATCACTTGAGTATATTTGAATGAGATATTTACTATTGAAATGCACACTTTCTTCATTCAAATGTTTGATTTCTTTATGTTGGTTTCAATTTTTATGGCACAAAGAGAAAAATGAAGGGACTGTAGAATTTGTGTGCTTTCTTGTAACTTCCTACTCAGTTCCAGTTTCTCTTGTACTTGTCTTCACACCCGTCTTTCATAAAATTCAATTTGCAAGTGAAGTAAATCAAAATATTTTACCTCAAGGGGAAGATAGTTCTTTGACATATTTTAAGATGGTTGTCAGAGAGCCAGTAAACTGAAGTGGCCTTGAAAAGCTAACTTTAGTGGGGGAAATTTGCATCTATAGAGAATGTTCCCTGAATCCTGCTGCACATCATCACCTATGGTTAATGCATTTATTATTAAACAGCTTCAAGATAATCAGAAATCCCCAATTAGAAGAATAATTTTCCACTGTAAATGTAAACCCAATGAATTGCAAATGTAATTCTGAAAAGCCTGTATAAGAACAAAGAGGTAATATTTCAGTATTTCTTAGGATATTATCATCCACAAAACTAAAGTTATGTTAGAAGGATCTCTGACATACAAAATATAAGGTGCTTCTAGGTTTTGTATATTTTTTAATTTAGCTGAGCACTGAGTGAGCCTAACAGGTGTCCACGACTTTGTAACAGTGACAAGTAAGGTCAGCCACAGGCATTTCATACCACCAAAAACCTGGGTTCCTAATATGTCTTGGCTGTTTGCTCCAGTGAATCTTCTTGGTCTACAAGCAGGCATTTTTGTCTTTTCTTCCTCCCTCACTTACTCCTTCCTTGACTCATTTTCTTGTTTTCACACTTTCTCTCTTCTTATTTCCTTCCCTCCTTTGCTTTCTCCCTCTCTCCTTCCCTTCCTCCTTTCTTTTCTTTTTCCCTTCCTCCTTCCCTCTATCTCTCCTTTCCTTCTTTTCTTCTTTCCTTCCTTTCTACCTTTCTTCCTTCCTTATTTCCCTTTTTTCTTCTGTCTTTAATTAGCGATTGCTATAGGCCTGGCTTTTTTTGTAAGCAATGAAGTCAGATCAGTAAACAAGGTAGAGAAGGCCTTGCCCTCTTGGAGCTTTTATTTCAGTGGTAAAGACAGAGAAAACAGCAGCAAACATATAGATAAGTGATGTTATAAAGGGAAAATAAATGAGTTTAAAGAAGAAAGAGAGTAAGAGTGGTATGTGACAAACAGATAAGTCATTGTGAGCATCTAATATTTGAGTAGTTGATTATTGTGAGAACTTAACAAGAAATTCTTTCAAAGTACTTACAACAGTCCCTGACAAGCAATAATAACTGGGTAAATACACTAGCATTGTCGTTAGCATTAGAATCAGTACTCCGAATTTTTTTTTCAAAACAATCCCAGTAGCTATTATAGAGGCATGAGTTTTCTACTATTAGGAGTGTTGTTGAATTCTTCTAGAGTATAAGAGAAGTCGCCATGGACATAGAGTTTTGGGCAGGAGAAAAGAAGGGGCAAGAGGTAGCAATGCAATTTTCATGGAGGTTGAAGAGTGCTTTGGAGACTCTCCAGATTATTTACTTCGTGTTTCAGAATTGGTATTTATTGTTATGTTTGAAGATGTGTCTGATCTGGGAAATGCACAGAGATAACATGGTTTAAGAGGTACCAGAATGCTGAAATCCCATCTTGTATACCATAGTTTCCATTTCAGATTTTAGAGAGGAAACATTACATTCTGGAAAAAAAAATTTAATAATGTCAATGAAGTCTCCTTGCTTTCTTCTAACTTAGAATAAGTTAGCTGTCAGACTGGTACTTTACCTAGATCTTGCGAAGGATTAAAGCAATGCTCTGAGAGATTATGTTCACTGGAATTCTAAAAATGCCAAAAAGAGATTAATAATTTTTTACGATTAACCTCCAAACCTAGACTATTTACTTTTGGAAAGGCAAGAATTGATTTCAATTGTATATTTCAGGCAGCCATCATGGTAACCTGAATTAGGAGTGGCCCTGTGCTAAAACACAAGCACAATCCAAAGGTTCATACATAGCAATGAGGAGAATGTCAGAACCCTGAAGTCCTCAATTCATTATTTTCTTTATTCCACAAATTTTTAAGGCATACCCATTGTATTAAAACATGATTATATGTTTCCCATGTTTTAGTACCCAGGTTGAGATTAAACAACTTTAGAGCAAAAGAAAAAAAATGAACACTTTTATAAGATAATTAAAATGAGATATTGAAATATTGAAAAATAAAATTTAAGCCAAATGATAAAATTATAAATTACTTGACTAGATAATATGAAACAGGGTTATTTAAATACATATAGGATGGTTGTTAAAATATTAGCGTTTTTGTTTTCTAGAAGAGTGGTTCTAAACTGTGGATGGATATTAAAAACACATGGGAGGTTTTACAAACTACAGATGTCTTCTTGGTATCGAGGAATACTGACATAATTTGTCTGGAGGGTGACCCAGGAGCTGAAAGTTTCAAATGCTTCCCAGGGGAAGTCAAAGTTGAGAACCCTTGCTCTAGACAGTGGTTATCAAACTTTATCTTGTATCTGACTCACCTGGAGGGGTTGTTAAAACAGATTCTGGGCCCCACACGGAGGGTTCCTGGTTTAGTAAGTCTTAGATGGAACCTGCAAATTTGCATTTCTTATATAAGTTCCCATTTGATGCTGAGGTTGCTAGTCTGAGGATATAGACTTTTGAAAGGTAGAATTTGAACTTTTTTGAAACGTAGAATTTCTGGCCCCACTCCAGATTTAAAGAATCAGCCTCCATGTTTTAAAAAAATTCCCAGGTAATTCATGTGCATAGTAAAACTCAGGAAGCAATTGTCATAGAAAAATTGAATTAGGGAAACTGCCAACAAGTGGGATTAGATTAAACAATGGTGCTATGGTCTGAATGTTTTTGTCCTTCTCACATTTATATGTTGAAATCCTAACTGGCGAGGTGACGGTATTAGCAGGTGGGGCCTTTTGGGAGGTGATTAGGTCATTAGGGCAGAGCCCTCAGGAATGGGATTATTGCCCTGATAAAGGAGGCCTTGTCCTTTCCATGATGTGAACTAGAAGGTACCATCTATGAGGAATGGACGCTCACCAGATGTTGCTGGTGCCTTGATCTTGGACTTGCCAGCCTTCCAAACTGTGAGAAATCAAGTTCCATGGCTTATAAGTTACCGGTCTAAGACATTTTGTTACAGCAGCCTGAATGGACTAAGAAAACTGGCAAACATTTTGTCAGGAAATAACGTTACTATTAAAAAATAGTGTTGTGAGAATCTTCAGGGTAGATTTGTATCTTCCTGACATTAGGGTATATTTGGTTTATCCTGCTAATAATTCTCTCTTTGCAAATAAGCTAATGAAGAGCAAAAACAAATATTATCTAACTTTATGCTTTGAAGAGCTCCACATTCTACATTATATAAGTCCCAATTGCAGTATAAAAATCAGAAGCACTGCTAGGTACTTTATCTTCTGTATTTTCAATCAGCCCTTAAATGAGAGAAGCTAGGTTTAAGATCAAGTTTTATTATATCTAGTACAATATTTTGTCTCCTTCTAAATTTTATCTTAATAACCTTTAAAAAATTTATAACAACTTTGCATTTACAAAAATGACAATAGTACAGAGATTTCCTATATCACTCATAAACACTTTTCTATATTGGTACATTTTACATTGGCATAGCAGATTTGACACAACTAATACAACTATATTAATATATTATTGTTAGCCAGAGTCTATACTCCATTTGGATTTTTTTGTTTTACCCCAATGGCGTTTTACTCTTTGAGAATCCTATTTAGGATGCCACATTACATTCTGTTGCCATATCTTCTTAAGCTCCACTTTTCTGCATCAGTTTCTCAGTCTTTTCTTGGCTTTTATGACCTAGACAGTTTTGAGACGTACTGGTTAGATATTTTGTACAGTTTTTCTCCATTTAATTTTGTCTGATTTGTTTTTCATTTTTAGATTTATGTCATGGTTTCGGAGCAATAGAACATGGAGATAAAATACCATTCTCAGTACATATCATATGTGATAAACTGATATTCCTGATAGCAGGAATGAGGTCTGCTATCTTGTTCACCTGCCTGAGGTACTGATTGTCAGGTTTTTCCACTATAATGTTATGCTATATCCCCTTTCCATATACTTATTGGAATAAAGTAAATACACTCTGCCTACCATAGAAGTGGGAAGTTATGCATGATCTGCTTAAAGGGTATGCATATCAACATAAATTATGTGAAATTGTCCTGCAAAGGGGCATTACCTATTCTCCCCTGTTTACTTATTTTATTTATTAAATCATTTATTTGTATCACTATGAATTCTTGGGTATTTATTTTATATATTGAATTATAATTCTATACTACTTTATTTTGTTCCTCAAGTTTTTCCAGCTTTGGCAAATAGGAACTTTTTCTGCTGGCTCCTGTGCCCCTTTGACACATCTTCATCTTTGTCATCTTTGTAGTTATTTCTTTGTTGTTGTTGTTGTCACCCAGGCTGCCGAAGTGCAATGGCTCACTACAGCCTCAACCTCCCAGGCTCAAGCAATCCTCCCACCTCAGCCTCTTGAGTAGCTGAGACTACAGGCACGCACCACCACACCCAGCTAATTTTTAAATATTTTTGTAGAGACGGAATCTTGATATATTGCCCAGGCTGGTCTTGAACTCCTGGGCTCAAGAGATCCTCCAACTCTAGCCTCCCAAAGTGCTGGGATTACAGGCATGAGCCACCACACCCAGCCTCATAGTTATTTTTTGAGGCTTTTCTTACTTTCTATCAGTACAAGGTGCTGCAGGATCATCTTGCATGTTGCTTGTCCCAAGCCTAGAATTGGCTATTTCTACAAGAAGCCTTGGTTCTGTTTACCGAAGAATGGTCTTCTTTATTGGCAAATAGGTGGTAGTTATATTTGAAGTCTTGATGCTTCTAGGCCCTCTCAACTGACAGAGCAAGAAAATATATGTGTGTATGCTAACTTCTGCATGTACATATAGCTATAAATATTTCTGTGTATGTCAATCTGTATATATATATATAAAGCTAAACATGAGTTATTTCTGACATCTAAAATTCTGATTCAGTACCAAGCAGATCATTCTAGCTTTGCCCCATTGCTTTTCTATAACTTCCCAATCCAACAGTAATGAATTTATATCCATCATCTACTATTCATGTATTTAGTCATTAAATTCAATTTACATGTATAGTGCTCTCTGTATTGTTAAATGGTAATACTATGAGAACCAGCTTTACCAATGAGTATTTTATTGCTATTACATAATCTGTTTACTAAGAAAATTGTATAAAATTATTTAAAATTTGTTATACACCAATTGTTATAAAATTCATTACTTATATAACAAGTCTTTTGTGTTTAGTGGATGTTATCCACATATGTGGATGAGAGGACACATAATATATGGATTAACATCTATTAAACATCCTTCTAAATGCGAGGACAATTAGATATGTACAGTAAGTTAGTATGATGAGGTTCAACTAAAATCAGGGCTGGTGTTCACCTGGCACACAGTGGTAGATACTTTCCAGGGAATAAAATCTTGACATACTTCTTGGATAGTTGATAGCTGGCTACTATTCTCAGTGCCCCATCTGGTACCAGAGCTGCCTCAAAAATTTCCTCTGGATCTTGGACCCATTCGAGACCTGGTAACTAAAGAGTTAAGGCCTGGAACAGCAGGGGTTCTTCAGGATCCGGTGCTATTTTTGTATAGCCCCTTTTACATTGTAGAATTTGCTAGCACTGGTAATTAACCATTCCAAACATCACCCCATTTTCCATATGAAACATGATTATGTATTGAAAAAACATAGTTATTGTAGCTGTAATGACATCAGGAGCAGTGGTTCTGCACATTTGTGATTGCAAATACGATTACACGGAAGCTTCAGTGTCATTAACAGAAAATCTGCAAATGAAATGTTTCCTCTGAATTGCTTGGCACACAAACTTTTCTGTGGTACCTGATTTAGTTGTCCACTCTGAACCAATATCAATTGGTGATTTTCCAAATTATGAGCAAGATATGGTTTCACAGAACTCTTGTACTTTCGTGAAAGATAATTGGACACAATTTTATTAATTTGTGGAAGTTGTTGGCTTTTAGGTGCTGGATTAATACATATTATATACATACATATTATATATCTTATATAATATTACATATATACAGTATATAATATAATATTTCAATCTATAATATATGTATATATAATTTAATATGTGTAATACATATAGTATTTATATTATACATATCATATATAGATATGTAAAATGACTTTGAAACAGATATAAAAGGAATCTTACACATACAGACTTTTTAATGTTGATCATTAGGAAGCTTAAATGATAAGCAATTATATAATAATTTATACCTTTCTTATTAATATGTTAATTAAGCATTCTATTCTAGCTTTAAAGCTAAGGCAATGCTCAGAGTATTTAAAATAAACGTAGTGAATATTTCACTAATTACAAATGTATTTTACAATGTGTAAATCTGATGTAAAAACTTAGAATGTAAAAGTTAATTACACTGTTTTCTGACACTGCAGTAATATTTTCTCAACTTTGTTATGAATTCATAAAACTTTTGGATGCACAATTAATTTTGGTATGCTCATCTCATTCATGTGATAAAGCATTGACACTCACTGAAATAGAAATACTATTAAAACACTTCAAAAATTTAACTGGAAATGAGAAATCATTGAAGTCAATCCTAATTTTACTCAACGCATACTTAGATATTTGTGAAGGGAGTATCTTTGCATGTTGGGTCAGAGTCTAATATTTATTAAAGTATTTTTAAACATGCCTCTTCTAGATACCTTACTGGGTTTTTCTGTGTTTTTTTTTCATATGGAATCTTAATTTTAACTTTTTAAAACTTTTTAAATGACACATAATAGTTGTACATATTTATGGAGTACAGTGTGATATTTTGATACATGTATACAATATGTAATGATCAAATCAGTGTAATTAGCACATCTATCACCTCAAACATTGCTTCTTTGTGTTGGAAATATTCAGAATCCTCCCTTCTAGCTTTGTGAAAATACACATGCAT
Organism: Homo sapiens; assembly: GCF_000001405.40. Classification (NCBI taxonomy): domain Eukaryota; kingdom Metazoa; phylum Chordata; class Mammalia; order Primates; family Hominidae; genus Homo; species Homo sapiens. The sequence continues at coordinate 35,735,074 of NC_000023.11, read as the reverse complement.
CAAGATGGCCCATTAGAAGCAGCTGTAGTCCACAGCACTCATGGAGAGGAATGAAAGGGGTGAGTGAATATAGCACCTTCAACTGAAATATACAGGTTCTCACACTGGGACTGATTAGGAAAACAACTAGACACACAAAGAAGAAAGGCAGAGTGGGGTGACAGCCCAGCAGGGAGTGACACAAAGCCAAGGGAACCCCCACACCCAGCCAAGAAAAGTGGTTAGTGACTGCGTGACCCCAGGAAACCACACTTCTCCCATGGATCTTTGCAACCCACAGATCAGGAGATCCCCTGGTGAGCCCATGCCACCAAAGCCTTGGGTGTGACACACAGAGTGGTGTGGAGTCTTTGCAGAGCAGTTGCATGGGCATGCGCAGAAACCCAGGAGCTTTACATATTCCAACCCCAGGGTCTCCAACAAATGTGTCTGCAACTCAGGCAAGGCAGGAGGTCTACACATACCCCTAGGAAGGGGGTGGATCTGGGGAGCTGAGCAGCATCATTCTGTGGGCCCCACTTCCATGGCATGTCACAAGACAAGATCCACTGACTTGGAATTCCAGCCCACCATTGGCAAGAGTGTGGAGCCTGCCTGAGACTGGATGGAGCCCTGGGGAGAGGGACAGTCACCAACTCTGCTGTTTGGTTGACTCAGCCATTCCAGACTGCAGGCTTTGAAAAGTCCAAAGGCTCTCGACAAGGAAGGGTCCCCCACAGCAGCGCAAAACTGCAGCTTTGCCAGATTACAGACAGACTATTTCTTTAAGCAGGGCCCCGATTCATTCCTCCTCACTGGGTGAGACCTCCTAGCCAGACCCTCCAGCCATGCCTGCCAGTATGTATTAGGGACAGAGCTCTGATCTCTACCTGGGACAGAGTGCCCAGAGGAAAGGAAAGCCACCACACGGCTTGGTTGGATGACACAGCAGTTCCAGTCTGCGGGGTTTGGAGAGTCCAAACAGTCCAGATGAGGAAGGGCCCCCCAGCAGTGCAACACCACGGCTTTGCCAGATCACAGCAGACTGCTTCTTTAAGCCAGGCCGCGATCCATTCCTACTCACTGGACAGGACCTCCCAGCCAGACCTTCCAGCTATGCCTGTCAGCATGTATTAGGGGCAGAGCTCTGATCTCTCCCTGGGACAGAATGCCTGAGTCAGGGTGAGGACCACCACTTGCGTATGTCAAACGACTCAGCCATTCCAGCCTATGGGCTTTGTAGAGTATAAGCCAACAGGGGCAGAGGCGGTTCCCCACCATGACACAGCTGTTTTATCGAGGCATGGCCAGACTGCTTCTTTAAGCAGGACCCCAATCCACTCCTTCTAGTGGGGGGGGGGGGGTTCCCCCAGCTGGGTCCTCCCAGCCAGGGCCTCTGGCCACCCATATTCTCCCTAAGATGGAGTGCCTGAGGGGCAGGGCAGGCCACCAGCTTAGCCATTCAGGCTTCTCAGCCGGTTTAGCCTGTAGGCCTTCGAAAGCTCAAGCTGATCAGGGGCTGAAGGGGTCTCTAACCCAGCACCACTACTCTACCAAAAAGCAGCCAGATTGCTTCTTTAAGTGAGTCCCTGATTCCATTCCTCTTGACTGGGTGAGACCTCCTAACCAGGGCCTCCAGTCACCTCCCACAGGCACGTTTGGGTTGGCAATAGGTCAGAACCCCCCTGAGACAGAGCTTCCAGAGGAAAGGGCAGGCCGTCATCTTTGGCATTTTGCAGCCCTCACTGGTGATACCTCCAGGTATGAGAAAAAATGAGGCAACTAGGGTCTGGAGCAGGCTCCTAACAAACCACAGCAACCCTACAGAAGAGTGCCCAAACTGTTAAAAGAAAAACAAACAGAAAACAACAGCAACAAAACCCAAAAACCCCATCCAATGATCAGCAACCTCAAAGATCAAAAGTAGATAAGCCCACAAGGATGAGAAAGAATTAATGCAAAAATGCTGAAAACTCAAAAAGCCAGCGTGTGCCTTTTTCTCCAAATTACTGCAACACTTCTCCAGCAAGGGCTCAGAATTAGGCTTAGGCTGAGATGGCTGAAATGACAGAAGTAGGCTGCAGAAGGTGGGTAATAACAAACCTCACTGAGCTAAAGGAGCATGTTGTAACCCAATGCAAGGAAGCTAAGAATCAGGATAAAACAATACAGGAGCTGACAGCCAAAATAGTCAGTTTAGAAAGGAAGATAACTGACCTGTTAGAGCTGAAAAACACACTACAAGAACTTCAAAATGTAATCACACGTATTAATAGCAGAATAGACAAAGCAGAGGTAATGTACAAAGGACAGCCCATCAGACTAACAGCAAGCTCCTCAGTGGAAATCCTACAAGCTAGAAGAGATTGGGGGCCAATATTCAACATTCTTAAAGAAAAAAATTAATTCAGAACTTCATATCTATCCAGTCAAACTAAGATTCATAAGTGAAGGAAAAATAAGATTATTTTCAGACAAGCAAATGTTGAGGGAATTCATTACTATTGGACTCATCTTGCAAGAGTTCCTGGAAGAAGCACTAAATATGGAAAGGAAAATGGTTATGAGCCACTACAAAAACACACTGAAGTACACAGACAAGTGACACTGTGCAGCAACCACATAAACAACTCTGCAAAATAACCAGATAGCATCATGATGACAGGATCAAATCCACACATAACAATACTAACGTTATATGTAAATGGTATAAATGCCCCAATTAAAAGACAGAGTGGACAGATGGACAAAGAAACAAGACCCAGTAGTATGCTGCCTTTAAAAGACCCATCTCACATGAAAGACATACCTAGGCTCGAAATAAAAGGATGGAAGAAAATTTACCAAGCAAATGGAAAACAAAAAAAAGCAAGAGTTGCAATCCTAGTTTCTGACAAAACAGACTTTAAACCAACAAAGATCAAAAAAAGACAAAGAAGGGCATTACATAATTGTAAAGGGTCCAATTCGACAAGAAGAGCTAACTATCCTAAATATATATGCACCCAATACAGGAGCACCCAGATTCACAAGGCCAGTACTTAGAGACCTTCAAAGGGACTTAGACACCCACACAATAATAGTGGGAGACTTTAACAACCCCACTGACAATCTCAGACAGATAATTGAGACAGAAAATTAACAAAGACATTCAGGACTTGAACTCAGCTCTGGATCAAGTGGACCTGGTAGATACACACAGAATACTCCACTCAAAAACTACAGAATATACATTTTTCTCATTGCCACACAGTACTTACTCTAAAATTGTTTACATAATCAGAAGTAAAACACTCCTCAGAAAATGCACAAGAACTGAATTCATACCAAATAATCTCGCAGACCACAGTTCAGTGAAATAAACTCAAGACTAAGAAATTCACTCAGCCGGGCATGATGGCTCATGCTTGTAATCCCAGCACTTTGGGAGGCTGAGGCGGGTGGATCAAGAGGTCAAAAGATCGAGACCATCTTGGCCAACATGGTGAAAACCCGTCTCTACTAAAAACACAAAAATCAGTTGGGCATGGTGGTACACGCCTGTAGTCCCAGCTACTCAGAAGGCTGAGGCAGGAGAATCGCTTGAACCCAGGAGGTGGAGGTTGCAGTGAGCTGAGATCGTGTCACTGCACTCCAGCCTGGCGACAGAATGAGACTTCATCTAAAAAAAAAAAAAGAAATTCACTCAAAATCATACAATTACATGGAAATTGAATAACTTGCTCCTGAATGACTTTTGAGTAAATAATGAAATTAAGGCAGAAATCAAGTTATTTGAAACTAATGACAACAAATATGCAACATACCAGAATCTATGGCATGAATCTAAGGCAGTGTTAAGAGGGAAATATATAGCACTAAATGACAACATCAAAAAGTAAAAAAGATGTCAGGTTAACAACCAAACATCACAACTAAAAGACTAGAGAACCAAGAGCAAAGAAATCCCAAAGCTAGCAGAAGACAAGAAACAACCAAAAGCAGAGCTGAACTGAAAGAGGTTGAGACATGAAAAACCATTCAAAAGGTCAACACATCCAGAAGTTGTTTTTTTTTGAAAAAATTAATAAAATAGATAAACTGCTAGCTAGACTAATAAAGAAGAACAAATAGAAGATTCAATAAACACAATCAGAAAGGACAAGGGAGATATTATCACTGACCCCACAGAAATAAAAACAATCATCAGAGAATATTATGGACACCTCTATGCATAAAAACTAGAAAATCTAGAAGAATGAATAAATTCCTGGACACATTCATGCTCCCAAGACTGAACCAGGAAGAAATTTAATATCTGAAAAGACTAATAAGAAGCTCTGACATTGAGTCAGTAATAAATAGCCTACCAACAAAAAAAAGCCCAGGATCAAATTCGTGGCTGAATTCTACCAGATGTACAAAGAAGAGCTGCTACCATTCCTGTTGAAAGTATTCCAAAAAACTGAGGAGGAGGGACTCCTCCGTAACTCATTCTATGAGGCCAACATTATCCTGATACCAAAACCTGGCAGAGACACAACCAAAAAAAAAAAAAAAGAAAACTTTAGGCCAATATCCTTTATGAACATTGATGCAAAAATCATCAAAAAAAATTGGCAAATGGAATTCAGCAACACGTCAAAAAGCTTATCCACCATGATCAAGTAGGCTTTATTTCTTTAATGCACAGTTGGTTTAACCTACACAAATCAATAAGTATGACTCATCACAAACAGAACTAAAGAAAAAAAACACAAGATTATATTAATAGATGCAGAAAAGGCTTTCAATAAAATTTAACATCCTTTCATGTTAAAAACTCTCAATAAACTAGATATTGAAGGAACATACCTAAGAATAATAGGAGCCATATGTGACAAACCTACTGTTAACATCATACTGAACAGGCAAAAGCTTGAAGAATTCCTCTTGAAAACCAGCACAAGACAAGGATGCCCTCTCTCACCATTCTTATTCGAAATAGTATTGGAAGTCCTTGCCAGGGCAATCAGGCAAGAGAAAAAAATAAAGGGATCCAAAATAAGCAGAGAGGAAGTAAAACTATCACTGTTTGCAGGTGACATGATCTTATATCTAGAAAACCCTATAGTCTCAGCCCAAAAGCTCCCTAAGCTGATAAACAACTTCAGCAAAGTCTCAGGATAGAAAATCAATATGCAAAAATCACTAACATTCCTACACACCAAAAACAGTCAAGCTGAGAGCCACATCAGGAGTGCAATCTCATTCACAACTGTCACATAAAAAAAACAAATACTTAGTAATACAACTAGCCAGGGAGGTGAATGATCTCTACAAGGAGAACTACAAAACACTCCTCAAAGAAATTGGAGATGACACAAACAAATGAAAAAGCATTCCATGCTCATGGATAGGAAGGATCAGTATCATTAAAATGGCCTTACTACCCAAAGCAATTTACAGATTCAAAGCTATTCCCACTAAACTACCACTGACATTCTTCAAAGAATTAGGAAAAAATATTTTAAAATTCATATGTTACCAAAAAAAGAGTTTGAATAGCCAAGGTAATCCTAAGCAAAAAGAATAAAGCTGGAGACGTCACACTATCCAACTTCAAATTATACTGCAGGACTACAGTAAACAAAACAGCATGGTACTGGTACAAAAACAGACACATAGACCAATGGAACAGCATAGAGAGTCCAGAAATGAGGCTGAACAGTTAGAACTATCTGATCTTTGACAAGCCTGAAAACAAGCAATGGGGAAAAGATTCCCTGTTCAATAAATGGTGCTGTGATAACTGGCTAGCCATATGCAGAAAAATTAAACTGGACCACTTCATTACATCATATAAAAAATTAACTCATTATGGTTAAAGACTTACATGTGAAACCCCAAATAATAAAAACCCTAGAAGACAACCTAGGCAATACCATTCTGGACATAGGAATGGACAAAAATTTTATGATGAAGATACCAAAAGTAATTGGAACAAAAGCAAAAATTATCAAGTGGTATATAATTAAATGAAAGAGCTTATGCACAACAAAGGAAACTATCAACAGAGTAAACAGACAACCTACAGAATGGGAGAAAATTATTACAAACTGCATCTGACAAAGGTCTAATATCCAGCATCTACAAGAAACTTAAATTTACAAAAGAAAAACAAAACACCATTAAAATATGGTTAAAGTACATGAATAGACACTTTTCAAAAGTGCAGGAGTCTGTCTTGCATATCCTGATTCAATGACAGATGCATAATGTACACTGACACAGATATTCTGCTTGTCAGACCGGCCAAGTATCCAGGCCACTTACAGACTCTAAGGAGAGTGCTGTCAGCCACGGCCCCAGCTAGCTGGCCTTCTTGGCATTTATTTAGCACACATTAAATGACAAAAGCTTTAAGTCAACACTATTAGAGGGTAATCAACCTGGTTACCTACCCCCGAGAGAGCCATCCTGCCCATGAGTAATCAAAGGTTAGCTTTAGGACCACATGAGTAAACAAGCTCTTTAGATAAACTACTCTACATTCCTTTGTATCTGGGCCCTAAGCACTCTGGTTCCTGCAAAGAGACTGGCTGCTCTCAGCCAAACTATCTGAAGCTATGCAAAAACCTTTTGGCCTTCCAAGAAGGTTCGTGTTTTATTTTATAATTTTCCCCACCATCCTGACTGAACCCCTACACAAAAGAAGACATACATGCAGCCAACAATCATATGAAGAAAGCATCACTGATCATTAGAGAGATGCAAATTGCAGCCCACATGAGATACCATCTTACACCAGTCAGAATGGCTATTCTTAAGAAGTCAAAAAATACAGATGCTGGTGAGGTTGTGGAGAAAAAATGCTTATGCACTGTTGGTGAGAGTCTAAGTTAGTTTAACCATTGTGGAAGACAGTGTGCTGATTCCTCAAGTAGCTAAAAAAAGAAATACCATTCCACCCAGCATTCCCATTACTGGGTATATACCCAAAGGAATAGAAATCATTTTATTATAAAGACACATGTGTGCACATGTTCATTGCAGCACTATTCACAATAACAAAGACATGAAATCAATCTCAATGCCTGTCAGTGGTAGACTAAAGAAATTGTGGTACATATATACCATAGAATACTATACGGCCATAAAAAGAATGAAATTATCTCCTTTGCAGCAACATGGGTGCAGCTGTAGGCCATTATCCTAAGCAAACTAACACAGGAAGAGAAAACCAAATACTGCATGTTCTCACTTATAAGTGGGAGCTAAATGATGAGACCACAGGAGCCAAATGATGAGAACACATGAACACATAGAGGAGAATAACAGACACTGGCACCTATCAGTGGGAGGAGGGTGGGAGGAGGGAGAGAACCAGGAAAAATAATCTATGCTTAATACCTGAGTGACAAAATAATCTGCAGAACAACCCCTCAAGACACAAATTTATCTATGTAATAAACCTGCATATGTACCCCTGAATTTAAAATAAAAGTTAAGTAAATTTTAAAAAAAGGTTTGGATGACTATACTGAGTAAATTCCGTCATTTTTACAGAATCTTAACTGCATTCCTGAGAGATTACTTCACAAACACTTGCAGAAAGTAATACATATTTAAATGGAATAACATATAAACAGGTTGCTTAATAAAAATACAGAGTACGTGGTATGACATTCTCTAGCAAATACCAGAAAGCTGTATTTAGACTCTGGATGTTATTGTGAGAATAAAATGAACACCCTTCCTCTCTTGCCCATTATTACCATATTTCTTGGAAAAAAAAATATTTGATTAAAAAATTTGCCATTTATTTGCTCTGCAAGCAAATGAAAATTTGCCTGCCTTCAAATCTGAATATCATCCATACCCTTATTAATATTTATTTTTACAGCCAGATTCATCTTTACAGTTCTCCCTTATACCCCATTTTCTTCTTCCTCTTTCTTTTATCAAATCAAGTTTTGTCACATTTTCTTTTACCATTGCTTCTTACAGTCCTTTTTCTGTTTCTACTGCTAGTAATCAAACAGTAGATTTGCATATTCCTTTCCAGAATCATAGAAAAAAATGAAAGGCAGCAGAGAATAGATTGCAAGATCCAATTAGCCAGTCTCCCTGATTCCCGTTTTTGTCTTCAAATGAATATACACCCAATATTGGCTACAGAGACTATAAAACAAAGATGAAATCAGATTATATCTATGCTCAATACCTTCAGTAAAACAAAACCTAATTTATTCAATTTGAACTTTACTGCTCTTTTCAATATCACTTTATCTTATCTAAGCAAACAATTTGTTGTCACTTATTCCAAACCATTCTCAGAGTTCTCTGGTCAAGAGTCCGTCAAATTTCATGCTTACCTGTTTTGCCTTGCTCTTTTCGTGGTCTTCTCCCTAACACATCTCTCTTGATCATCTCATTGTTTATCTGACAAATTTCTACTCATTCTCTTTGATCAAACATATTTGTTTATCAGTTATCTCTTGTCTGTACCATTATAAACAAATAAATTCCTCCTTTTGTTATACAAATTGTCATGCTCTGTGTGTGTTATAGAAATTAGTGGACATATTTAAGGACACCATGTACACTAGCATAGATGATGCCTTGCAAGGAGCACCTTGTTGAGGGCAAGGATCGCTCAGTACAAGGTTGCATACACTGAAGCAAAAGATGCATTTTTTTTTTTATTTTTATGAATGAAATATGTGCTCAGTAAACTTTTACCATCCACCTGGAGAGGGCGCCTACTCCAAATTAAAACAGTTTAATTGTAAGTTAGATTAGTCCTATACAAGGTTGCTTCCTTCACTTTAATGTGACTACTCTGAGGGCAGGAATCATATCCTTTCTTTGGTATTTACTGTCCTCAAGCCTAGAATACTTGCTGTATTTTTTTGGTAAATTAAACCCTGGGGAGTAATAAACAAAATAATAAATTAAAATTCTTGAGAATCTAGCTTAAAAATGTCAAACTTTAAAATTTGCTGTATTCCTTTTCCATATTCTAAGGTTTCTTGCAATAGTAATCAGGTCTATAAAATTAGCATGGGTGTAGACCAATAGAAATTACTATTTCTTCATTTAGTATATGGCATTTGAAGTGGTGTTGCTTGGTACTAAAATATTTGTACCTCCAAAGCATACAGAACCTGGCAGACTAAGTGGTAGTACCATTGATAAGAAACTCAGAGAAGATGCCTAATAATAAATAACTACCACATGTGTACAGATTTTTGATTCCCAGATTTTATCCTCACATTTGTTTAAGGAGTATGTGATTGTTGAGCGTGGGATGATAATGATATGATAACAATAAGGAAATGAATTAGGGTGACTAAAGTGGGAGAAGATACACCAATGTAGAGGAGACTCATATTATGTGTAATTTTCTGAACAATTACTATTTTGATTTGAGACTACAGTTTTCATGTAACGTTTCCCCAAATTCCTATGGTCATCATGAGGTTAATAATTCTTCCCAAATGTTCATTGACAGGATGAGATTTTATTTTTTCTATGTTAACCAGAGAAGTCAGTGGTATAGGCATGTAGAGAGGAGAGTAGCTACCAACAAAAACAAAAGAGAAACAGTTGTAATAAGTTGAATCAAAATCAAAGAGCAAATAGATTGTGAATTACCATTGAAATTATGAGGAAAAAAAGAAAACTACTTTCACACAATACTCAGTTCCTTCTGATATAAAAATAACTTTTGTAAGTCATCAAAAATGGCACAGTAAAAACTATTAAAACTTTGTCCCTCCATAAAATAATAGACAGGCTGGCACAAACTCAGAATCAATTTTTTTTTCAAAATTCTGAGATCTAATAAAAAACTCACAGCAATCAGGAAAACTCAATTAAAAAAAAGCTGTTGAATATTGATAAGAGAATATTTTGGTGTTTTAACCTAATCATTTTTTATAACCTACTCCTCAGCTTGGCAGTAGCCATGAATGGAAGAATCCACATACCTGTTAAAAGTTTCTGGTACTAGAGAGAGCAATATACACATTATTCTCAAAGCAAAAGGGTTGTGTGTTTTGACATGTCTGATATACCTCTGAAGGATTAGCTCAAGAGCTTGTGTTTGTTAAACTTGCATAAAGCATTGCCAGGGCTGAAGTGGCTTCTTGAGCAACATTTGTCAAAAGCAAATGTTAAATGCAAAAGTATTAGCTACAGCCACCTGGGGTAAAGGACTAAAACTGATGCCAACATTCGACAGAATGAGAAGCCTGGTAAAAAAAGAAGCTGGGAGAGAAGATACTTGAAGCAATAAGTACTTTTAAAAGTTTTGGTGTATGTTGGGGAACCTAGGAGGCCATATACATTCCCAGGACAAAAATGCATACTCGGAAAATAAGTACGAAGACCATGAGCTTTCACTACTAGCTAATAGCTAAGCTCTGTGCAAGCAGAAATTAAATGTTAAGATAGAGTTATAAACAACCTAGCTAAGCTTTGTAGGGGTGTCCCAACACAGACCCAATTTGCAAAGACTGGAAGATATTTAAATATTTATTTATTTTTGCCTTATGGCATTTTAGGTATTGTTTGCCAGATCTCTAGCTGATTACTAAGCTAATGGAACAAACACATCAATTTCCACACATGCAAAATATATACACTTTATAAAAACAGTTCATAAAAGTCACTTAATGAAAAGTAACTACAACAACCAGCAGAACAAACCCTTAGGAGGTAGAATAATTTGTTTTCTAATATTGCAACTCAGAATCATTTTTTTTCAAAATTCTGAGATCTAATAAAAAACTCACAGTTTTTTACAATATTCCGAATGTTCAATTTTCAAAATAAATCATGAGGCAAGCAAAGAAAAAAGAAAGTATATCCCAATCATAAATACACAAAATAAATGAATGGAAACGTAGAAACAGTCCCTGAGGAAGGCCAAATACCGAACTTCCAAAGAGACTTTAAATCAACTGTCTTGAATATGCTAAAAGAACTAAAAAAATACCATGGACAAATAACTAAAGGAACAAAGGACACACATGTATGAAAGAAAGAAAATATCAATAAAAACATGAAAAATATAAAAATAATCCAACTAGAATCTCTGGGGCTGAATGGTATAATAACAGACAAAAAGTTTAGTAGAAAAGAAAAACGGCATAATAAGACAGAACAAATAATCGACAAATTTGAAAATAGGACAATTCAGATTATCCAGTCTGAGGAGAACAGAGGAAAAAAAAATAAGTTAACAAAGCCCAGGAGACCTGTGGGACACCATCAAACACATTAACATATGCATAATGAAAGTTACGGAAGGAGAGAAGACATAGATGGGGACAAGAATAAAATGTGAAGGTATTAGGTTGGTGCAAAAGTAATTGCGGTTCTTGCCGTTACTTTAAAAACAGATATTCAGATAGCAGGTAAAAGTTTCTTTCTGAGTGTGTCTGTGAGGGTGTTCCAGAAGCGACTGACATTTGAATCAGCAAACTGCTGTGGCTCATGCCTGTAATCCCAGCACTTTGGGAAGCCGAGGCCAGTGGATCACCTGAGGTCAGGAGTTCGAGACCAGCCTGGGAAACATGGTGAAACCCTGTCTCTACTAAAAACACAACAATTAGCTGGGCGTGGTGGCGGGTGCCTGTAATTCCAGCTACTTGGGAGGCTGAGTCAGGAGAATTGTTTGAACCCAGGGCGGTGGAGGTTGCAGTGAGCTGAGATTGCGCCACTGCACTCCAGCCTGGGTGAAGATATACCCTCACTAATGTGGGTGGATATCATCCAATCTGTTGAGAGTTCTGACAGTGGAAAAGTGGAGGATTAACTCTCTTTTCCTAGGCTAAGATATCCATCTTATTTTGCCCTCAAACATCAGAGTTCCTGGTTCATGGGCCTTTGGACTCCATGACTTACACCAGCAGTGTCCCTAGTTATCAAGCCTTCAGATTCAGTCTAAATTACACCGACAGCTTTCCTGGTTCTCCAGCTTGCAGATGATATATCATGGGAATTCTTGTGTCCATAATTGTGTGAGCCAATTCCCATAACAAATTCCCTCTTTATCTATCTGTTTATCTATCTATCTATCTATCTATCCATCCATCCATCTCTTATTGGTTCTGTTTCTCTGGAAAACCCTGACTAATACGTGCACTATCAAGAGAACAGAAAAGCCACAGTATTAGAGAAAATATTTGTAAATTATATATTTGTTAAAAAATTAATAACCAGAATATATAAAATACTGTAATAACAACAGAAAACAAAACAAAAAAATAACGGGCATAAGATTTTAATAGGCTTTTCTCCAAAGAAAATATACAAATGACCAACACACAAATGAATTGATGCTCAGCATAATTTATCATTAGGAAAATGCAAAACAAAACCACAATGAGATACTGCTTTACACCCAATGAGATGGCTACAATCAAAATAAAAATTATAACAAGTGTTAGCAAGAATGTAGAAAAATTGTAGCCCTTATACATTGTGTGTAGAAATGTAAAATGGTGTATCTGTTGTGGAACATAGTTTGCAGATTACTCAAAAAGTTAAACACAGAATTACCATAGGACCTAGCAGTTCCACTGCGAGGTATATTCTCAAAAGAATAGAAAACAGATATTCAAAGAAAAACTTCTACACGAATTTTTATAGCAACACTATTCACAATAGCCAAAAGGTAAAAATAACCCATGTGTTCTCCTGTCAGGTTCTAATCAGCCTAGTTGTGCTAACTCCATTGGAGGAGCCGGAAGGAAGTGGTTGCTGCTCTTCTCTTAGCAGGACTTTCAGCCATTGCTGCAGACATAAAAGGGAAGAGTTTCTGCAGGTGTTGGCCACGGTAAGTTTCTTTGCATTTTTTATGATCCGCCAGAGAAATGTCCATAGCTAGCTCAGCTGCCTTTTGGCTCCATCGTCTTCTCAGGTTTCAGGAGTGCCTGGCCACAGCAAGTGTTATCTTATTACCTCAGTCCACCATTCATATACTTATTCTCTGAGGTCAGTATTTTTACTGTGATCTGAGTCATTTGTCATAAGTGACTCCATTTTGAGACATTTAGGATCACAAAAAAGTATTATACATCATATGTCCATCAACTGATGAATGGATAACAAAAATGTGAAATATCCACAAAATTGAATGTTATTCAGCCATTAAAAGGAATAAAATATTGATACACGCTATAACATGAATGAACATAAAAAAGAAGGCCAGAGTGAAATTCAGTATATTTAACAACTGGCATGGTATACCCTTAGACCGAATTGTTTCATGACATAAATCACCAGAAGACCTTACAGAGTCTTCTGCCTGGGATTGAACACCTTTTCTCCTGTTGGCCTTTCATTTGATTTGGCAAGGCTGAAACTCCCTTTTGTATGTAGATCTCAAGGGTGGAATTAGACTAATTTGCATAAATTGCTGAGGGATGCTGACTCTCACCTGGGCTTCCTTTAAACAGAAATGCCTGGACTATCATCTCAATTGTTTCTAACCAAACCATTTGTACACCAAAAAGGGCAACAAAAGCCTGAGAGGTAAGTGTAACAAGGAGTAGGAGTCGTTGTTGCCAAAAAAAAAGGCCCAAAGGTTTGATGAGATAGGATTGGCTATGCCATTGCAAGTGGCTGCAACTGGAATCTTACCTTAACCTAGCCCCGAGGTCAAGCATACCCTCCTTTTCCCTTTATATTAATACTTGATGCCCATACTTGCTGCTCCTTTTCCTCCAGGCACAAAAGCTGAGCAATGTCTGTTGATTTCCTACTTAGGAAATAAGGACTAAACAGAGTAGATGTTCACACGCTTGTCACCACAGCAAAGACAGTGGCCAGGGCTGTGTTAATTCAGTGCTGTGTGTTTTGCGGTCCTTGTGTGCTATGTTTGGGGGTCCAGTAACCGTTTCTCCCAGAAAGTGGATTTCCTCCAGGACTGAGTCATGATTCTGCTCAAGGTTCTAACATTTAATCTCCCATTCACAGGAGAGCAGACATTGCTTTAGATTTCTGGCATTTAATATTGGGGGAGGTTTTGTAGGGTTTCCTCTAACTTAGAATTTCCAAGAATCTTACTGGAAAATTCTGTAGAATCTTACTATTTTTGAAGGTAATTTATATAAATCATTTCATTTTATTTGAAAGTTCAAATACGTCACCTAAAATAAAACAAACGACCTTTTTTTGATAGCAGTGTTAGTAGAAATGTTTCTGTTGTACAAAGGTAAAGATATCAAATAGAGGCCAAATTACTTTATAGGTTTAAGCATGTGGTTCTTAATGGCAAAATTGTTATTGCACATTTATTAGAACAGGAGCAAAGTAGGCTGGGTTCTAGATTGGTCAAATATACATTTAAGTGTATAATTGCTTTTTAATATACGTACTAATATAATTGAATTAATAAATTAATAGATACATTTTCTACATAAGTATTTATAATTCATTGTAATCTATTAGATTGCAAATAGTTTATCTAATTTGACAGCAATAGGAGTTCATGATTGCTCTTTTTTCATAATATTTTCTCAGGCAATACAAAGTATGTGCAATCAAAAGTTATGATTTAATAAATTCAGATGCCAAATTAAGTGCAATTATATCTTAACTGATATAAGAATTACAGAATAGAATGTTAATATTCCAATAGTCTACTTTAAAGAATGAAATTGACTTCATTACAATGCTACTATAAATTAACATTAGCAGTTTTCTAAGGCAATGTTATGAATTATATAACAAGGGGACTCAGAAGCATTTGATCAAACCACTAATCACATTCTAGTTTTTATTTCTCACAAAATTTTATGTTGGAAAATTCAGTTAAAAGAAATATTCTTTTAACTGAAAAGAGAAACAAGATTTAGAGTTTTATGCAACCACTTCATATGTAATTTTATAAAAAATTAATTTTATGAAAATTAATTTTAAATATAATTAAACTTTATTTTACATATTTAATAGTCCATATTATTTTTCATGTGCAAACAATCCATATATACTAGGAAATTCTGGGAAATACCTTGACTGAAAATGTGTGAGACTCTCAGCAGATGTCCCATCGAAGACTTGCCTAGACTACTGACTCATGGGAACTATGATATAATAAATGAGTATTGTTTTGAGCTGCTAAATTTATGTTAATATGTTACACAATTATAAATAGCTAACATAGATAATACCAGTGAAAGATTAGGTATGCCTCCACTCTGCTCTCAGAGAAATTTCTAGGAAGTCATTCAGAATTTATTCACAACTCCTGTAACTCTTGGCTTATCTGCCTTTCTCATTAGTATCTATGCAACTTGAGGATGGAGATTGTTATCTATAATTTTAGAGCCTCTCACAGTACCTGACACATAGTTGTCATTCAACAATTGTTTGTTGTTAGATGTTAACTTCTATATCACTTCTCAGCCTTTTGGCTAAGATCAAGTGTAGATGTTAACCTCTACAGTGGTTAGGAATCATGAGGACATCAAGACAGTGAAGCGATAAGAAGGTGCTAGAAAGAATCGTTTACAAAGAGAACAAGATTTGGTTCCTAAAACAATGGTTAAGTCACAATTTTCTACCTTTGAATGTTGGGTGTGTCAGGTTGAAGAAACGAAATCAAATACAAGGCATTAATATGCTAGATGTGACTGCAAAGCGATGAGAATAATCATAATCACAATTGAAAATTAGCTTGCTTTACAGTTGTCCTATGCATAAACATAGAATATCTCTCACTTTATTTACTTCTTGTTTGATTTCTTTCACAAGATTTTTGCAGTTTCCCTCATATACATCTTTTGCATATTTCATTAGATTTACATCTATTTCATTTTTGTGGTGCTAATGTCACTGGTAAAGTATTTTTAATTTAAAATTTCACTTGTTCACTTCTGGTTCATTTTTTCAAAGCAAAAAAAATTATGTTTTTTTGACTTACAATGTATGAATGCACATAGATGCATGCAGAAAGAATATTAAAAACAAAATTAATAAATATTTATGAAGAAATACAAAGGTCCATATAAAAATACTGTGAACCGTTATGCACCAACAATTTGGATAACTTAGAAGAAATGGATAAACTCCTAGAAACAACCAAGACTGAATTATGAAAAAGATATAAAATCTGGAAAGACCGAAAACTGGTAAAAAGATTAAATCAGTAATAAAATTTTTTCATTAAAGAGAAGCTTAGGACCTAATGGCTTCATTGCTGAATTTCATGCAACATTTAGAGAGGAAATAAAACTTTTCTTTCTCAAATTCTTCCAAAAAATTGTAGAATAGGAAACACTTTCAAACTTATTTTATAAAACCAACATTACCCTTATAACAAAGACGAAGACAATACAATACAAAAAACTACAGGCCAATATCCCTAGTGAACATACATGTAAAAATTTTCAACAAAGTACTAGCCAACTAAATTCAACAGCACATTAAAAAATGATTCTCCATGATTACATGGGATTAATCCATAGAATGAATAAATGGATCAACATATATAAATCGATAAGTTATACATGATATTATCAGAATGAAGGACAAAACCACATGATCATCTGAATAGATAGGGCAAAGCATGCGACAAAATTCAACACCCTTTTGTGATTTAAACTCTCAACAAAATAGGTATAGAAGAAAAGCAAACTCAACACCACAAAGGTTATAAGTAACAAACTCACAGTTAACATAATCAGTGATGAAAAGTTGAAGACTTTTCCTCTAAGATCAGGAACAAGAAAAGAATACCAACTCTCACTACTTCTATTCAACGCAGTACTGGAAGTCTGAGCCAGAACAACATGTCATGAAAAATAAGTAAAAGTCATCCAAATAAGGAAGGAAGAAGTGAAATTGTTTCTGTGTGCTGATTACATGATCTTATACATAGAAAACTAAAAATTCCACCAAATAAAACTACTAAAACTAATAAATTCATTAAAGTTTCAGGATAC
Organism: Homo sapiens; assembly: GCF_000001405.40. NCBI lineage: Eukaryota > Metazoa > Chordata > Mammalia > Primates > Hominidae > Homo > Homo sapiens. The sequence goes on along the minus strand of NC_000023.11, from coordinate 35,718,176 downwards.
AAAATCAACATGCAAAAATCAGTAGCATTTCTATACACTAACAATGTACTATTCTAAAATAAATTAAGAAAATGATTCAATTTATAACAGCATCAAACAAAAGTAAATATTTAAGGTTAAATTTAACCAGGGAGGTAGAAGATCTGAATATTGAAAACTCTAAAACTTTGATGAAAGAAATTGAAGATGGTACAATAAATGGAAAAATAGATGAATGAGATTGTCTTAATCAAAAAGCTCCTCACAGCCAAGGAAAGAGTTAACCATGAAAAGAGACAACACAAGGATGGAGAGAAAATGTTTGTGAAGCATACATTTGATACAGAGCTAATCCAAAATATATGAGGAATTCAAACAACTCAATAGCCAAAAAGCATATAATAAAATATGGGTAAAATACCTGAACAGACAACAAAAATGGCCAAGAAATATATGAAAAAATACACAACACAACACTACTAATCATCAGGGAAATGCAAATCAAAACCATAATGAGATGTCACCTCACACCTGCTGGAATGTCTGTTGTCAAAAAGACAAAACGTAGCAAGTGTTGGTGAGGATGTGGAGAAAAGGAAAGGGAAGTCTGCTACACTCTTATTGGAAATGCAAATTAGGTACAGCCATTTTGGAAAACAGTGTGGAAATTCCTCAAAAAAGTAAAAATAGAATTATATCATCCAGCAATCCCACTTCTGAGTATATATACAAAAGAATTGAAATCGTATGTTGAAAAGATATCTGCACTTTCACATTCATTTCAGCATTATTCACAATAGCCAAGATGTGAAGCAACCTAAGTGTCCATCAGTGTATGAATGGATAAAGAAAACGCAGTATATACACACAATTAAATACTGTAGAGCCTTAAAAACGAAGTAAATTCTGGCATTTTGAACAACCTGAATGAAACTGGAGGATATTATGCTAAGTGAAATAAGCTAAACACAGAAAGACAAATATTGCATAATCTCATTTGTATGTGCTATATAAAAAAGTCAAACTCATACAAGCAGAGAGCAGAATGGTGGTTACCAGAGGATAGGTTGGGGGGATAGGCAAAAGAGAAATATTGGTCAAAGGATACAAAGTTTCAGTTAGATAGGAGAAATAACTTTTAGTGATCTATAGAAAAGCCTAGATGGCATAGTTAATAGTAATTTATTTTATGTATATTTCAAAATTGCTGAAAGTAGATTTTAAATGTTCTCACCACAAAAAATAAGTAGGTGAGGTGAGGTGTTATCTTAATTATATAGTGTATAATTAATTATACAGTATATAATAATTATAGTGTGTAATTACATAGTGTATAACACTTAATTATATAGTGCATACATATATCAAAATATCATTTTGTACCTCATGTAAAATTATTATCAATTAAAAGTTTTAAAATAAAAAATAAATTACAATATTGAATTCAGAAAAACAAAGAATAGGATGGTTACCAGAGGTAAAGTCCAATCTTCCTAAGCCACCAGAAATCTATTTCATACATGAGAGGATTAACTCTTTATGGGGAATCTAGCGATTTGAATGTGTTCAGCTTTTCTTTAGACATTTACACAACTAGATGGAGTGTCTTTTTTGTTTTTCAAATGAGGACACAGAACGGAAAGAAAAATTGAAAATGCTTCTGACCAGAACCACCTAATTCCCACTAATGGTTTTAATATACACTGGATCTGATAAAAGTGTTGCTGTGTATTTGTCAATTTGCAGAAGAAATAAATATCTGAGTCTGGTGTTGATAATATTTCAATAAAATTACGTCAGTGTTTGCAAGTGTTTTCTTTGATAGAGAAATATCTTGTTAGGGTACATCGAATGCCTTTTTCAAACCATTTGCTCCTTGTTAACTCTTAGCAAATATTTTATAGTATAATATTTTTAATTGGTTATATTTTATCTGATACTATATCTTCTACTAGTTTGCATAAAATTTTCAACCAGATTTATCTACATCTCTATGCCTTTTTTCCCTCGGCACATTAGGGGCTGATATACTTTAATTTTGTGTACCAGGTACTTTACCACTTGATCAGATTCATATTAATTTTTTTCTTCAGACTTTTTAATGCTTTCTTATTTATATTTTTATTGGGGTAAAATAATTTTATACTTATCTTAAATACTTTTTCATACTGGTCTTTAAATGTATGTTCCGGTGATGTTTAATTTGTAACTGTAATCTCCTTGAGAAAATAACTGTGCAGCCTGCATATGGGTTAGAGTAATACTTGATAAGGATTCAGTTATAAATTGGAAAAACTAAGTTCTTGTCTCAAAGGGTAAAGGGCTCAGATTAGGAAAGGGAAAATATCTTTCTTCTCATTTTCTGACAACAAGTATTGAGATGTTTTCTTTTGTATTCGATTTCATTTCTTTCCATTTTTGGCAGAAGAAGAGATATAAGACTTAGAAAATTTCCTCAACAGTACTTACTAAGATAATTCCATAACTGCAAAGACATCCAAGGACTTTGGATGCTACTAGAGTTTGAACTGTAATCACATTGCAGTAACTTCTGACTTCAAAATAAAGTTTTAGAAGCATAAAAAATGGTCTTCTTAAACACGTAACAGCAGGAGTCTGAATTAGATTAAGCAGTGGTTATTACAGTTAACTATAATTACTAGTTTTCTAATGCACATATGTTTATATTTCTCTATATAATTTGTCATTTTTTAAAGTACTTAATATTAAGACTAGCTATTTTAAACATAAAATTTAATTATGACATAAAAATCAAATGTAAACATTTTAAACTGGAATCAAGATTCCCTTATTTATTTAGCCTTTTACTGGAAATAATGTTCAGACTTAAGAATTTGGACAAAATTATAAAGACTTATTTTATTTTATTTATTTATTTTTTGAGACAGAGTCTCTCTCTGTCACTAGGCTGGAGTGCAGTGGCACGATCTCGGCTCACTGCAACCTCCACCTCTCAGGTTCAAGGGATTCTCCTGCCTCAGCCTCCAGAGTAGCTGGGACTACAGGCACGCGCCACCACACCCAGATAATTTTTGTATTTTTAGTAGAGACGACATTTCAACATATTGGCCAGGCTGGTCTTGATCTCTTGACCTCGTGATCTGCCTGTCTCGGCCTCCCAAAATGTTGGGATTACAGGTGTGAGCCACCGCGCCTGGCTGACAATTTTATTTTTTAATGCGATGAGATCTCACTATGTTGTTCAGGATAGACTTGAACTCCCAGCTCAAGTGATCCTTCTACCTCAGCCTCCCAAGTAGCTGGGACTCTAGACTCACACCACTACTCCTGGTAAGACAACATTATTCACAAACATAAGCTAAGGTTCTCTGAAGAAAAAATAAATAAATACAATATAAAATATCAATTACAGCAACTTTTGTTATTAAATTCCACCTAAGAAAATCATGAATTTGCATTGCTGAGACTCTTTGGCACAGTTTGCTCCTATGAACCAGCTGTGAAATGACAGTGCCTAAGTCACAAAATGTCATTCTCACAAAGCCTTGCAAACTTCCTAAATATATTAAAACCTCAAGACTAGCTATTATAATTGAAAACATATTTATGTAGGTATATGTCACCAGTAGACACATGAAATGTTAGAGTCAGCAAAAACATTGTGATCGTATTTTTAAATTTTTTTTAAGAAACTGAATTTAAAATTTAGTGGAACAGTTTGACGACAGATGAGCACAAAATCTTTGTGTCATAGATATAATGAGACAAAGTGGCTTTCCTAAGGTCTCAGGGCAAGTTATGGACTATCAACCAACAACTGTTCATGTTGAGTCCAGAATGATTTCTAAAACCTCCTGAATGTGGAAATTAGGAACTTAAATAATGTTGTAGACAAATGTCTGAAATTTAAAATTACCTGTTCTCTTAATGAACACCAGAAAACCTACTAAGACAGTCTTTTTTTTTTTTTTTTTTTCTTTTTTGAGATGGGTCTCGCTTTGTTGCCTAGGCTGGAGTGCAGTGGTGCCATCATGGCTCACTGCAGCCTTGACCTACCAGGCTCAAGCAATTTACCCACCTCACTCCTGCCAGTAGCTAGGTCTACAGGCATGCGCCACCAGGCTAAGCTAATTTTTAAAATTTTCTGTAGAGACAAGTAGTTCATTTCATTTTTTCAGGCATGCTAGACACATGTCTCACCTACAGCATATACTGTTTACAGTGTGCTTGCTGGATAGATGAATGAATGAATGAATGAATGAATGCATGAATAAATGAAACAATGAATCAAAGTACCAGAAGGTAACATTCTCTGGTTCAGAATGTAGAGCCTTACCTCTAGTCAGGCTTTTTGCCTCCATTGAAGAAACTCAAAATGCTCCAGTTGCTCACCCAGCTTGCTAATTCCCATCTGAAATTATCACTGTGAGTATTTATAATGGACATCTGATCCCCAGGCTCTAAAATCTTGGAGGCAGGGGTACACACACCAGGATGATGTATGCTTTCTACATTGGACATTGGACTTCATATTTCCCGGTTACTCCAGCCAGTTTAAAAAGAATGTGTGCCATCTCTGTGTGTTTTCTATCCAATCTACATATGGCTGCACCTTGGGCCAACTTCATGCTCCAAGCAGTAAGTAGTGGCAATGTAGGCCAGCAATTAAAGCCCTGGTACACCTACTCTCTGGTGTGCCAAAGACTCAAAAACCATGGGAAGCAGTCTGAGCAGAAGACATCATCTGGATTGATTTAGAAGACATACTGACACCCATCCTTTTATCTGTAGAGTTACTGAGGTAATCAGTAACAGCATATCCCCCTTTTAATTACCAAGTGAATAAAGCAATACATACTTGAAGCTCCATACTAACTTTCACCACTCTGGGACTCCTAGCCTGTCTTAACTGTTTGTCACACACTCAGCAATATCAAATATTCACATGGCCCCAATCTCAATGGAGGAGAGCCAACTTCCATGAAAAAAGAAAAACTCATTTCCAGCAGGTTTCCAGACAGCTCCCAGCCCTAGAACATCCGTGAGGGTGTGCTGGACTCCCAGGGTCGTCAAAACATATAGCTCTCTCAGAATCCATTTTTCACATCACTGGGTGACACAAGAGAGCTAGCTGTACTCTGCCTGACTGTAGGTAGGAGGATTCTAAGGTAGGGTGGGTGTCTTGCATGCCTCTGTTCATTTCATGCGGTCGACTTGCCCACTGAGATGACCTTACCACTTAGCTGGCAATGGCGATTCAGAGATTTTCTAAAACTATTCATGCAATTTGTCCAGGACCTTCCTCCACGTTCCCTACTTTCTTCATTTCTGGTTCTTTTTCCACATGATACTGAACTCTAGATTCAGAATCCCAACAGCCATTCTGCACTGGGGTCTCTGGACTTGGTTTTGCATATGGTTCCTCTCATGGACTCTGGACAATACTCTTCCCCTGGATCCTCACTAGCTGAGGTGTTTTTTGGTCTGGCCCTATTCCTTGGCACCTGGTCATTCTGGAGAAATTCTTGCTTTTCAAATGAAGGGAAAGTGCTTTGTTGATATAACGGAATTATAAAGCCTGCTAAAAATATCCTGTTACTCAGGACATGACTGTATAAATCTAGCTTATATGAGTGAGATTATAATATAATTTTCTGTTTAACCTAATTAAACAAAAGGGGAATACAAAATAACAGTGATGTAGTTTTTTCTCACTCTTAAGTTCAACTACAATTGAAAGAATTGATGAAGTAAAATATAAATGTATATGTTATTAACATACATTTTGTGAGAATAACAATTTAAAGAAAATTTTGAAAATAAATATGAGAATATTTAGAAAAATGTAAAATTGTTGTATCCTACTCATCTTAACAAAATTTACATTTTGCTGTATCTGTCTTTTTAGAAAGCCTTATAATTCATTTACAAAATGTTGATTTTAGTTTTATAAACATATTCACAAATGGAAAACAATTTAGGTGCTGGTTAGCAGAAGACCTGTTAGATTAATTTTGGTGATACAATAAATATATGGCCAATATCATTCATAAACTTAGATTCTGTGACTAACTAAAGGCTATAGTAAAAGGAACAACATTTGAATAATCTCCGCCCAAATGATAAATCTTCATGTTACCCATGTAGAACAGAAAAACAAAGATGTTATACACTATTTTCTTTTCTCCAGCTCCACTCATCTCTTCACTATGTAGACCTCTAACTGCCTCCTTCAAAACCAAAGTGAAGAATCTACCTCAGTATTCGCTAGAGCTGGGAGAAGCTGCTGAACATGGCACTGGAACTCGCATAAGCCATGAAAGTGGAGCCAGACTTGCCTGCAGTGTTGACTCAGGTTCTCTCTTTCCCATCTTTCAAATCCTCCTTGTACTCGGATGGGAAGTAACAAGAGTAAGACTCATTAATCTTGGCCAGAACTCTAGCATGAAAAGTCTAGTTTCATCTTGCTGGTTTCAGCCTGGATTCTTGGGCCCCCACAGGAACTCATATCATGTAGGATCACTATTGGACACCTGCCAGTACTGCAGCTGCTTTTACTTCACCAAATCTTTGATGATAAAATTCCTTGACTCCCCAAAGATGAAGAACTTCCTCCAAAAATATGTGTCTATCATATTCAACACTTCCCAGATCTCTTCCTCAAAGGCACAGTTGTCCTTCATCATGATCCCACACAAGATAAGAATTGGGAGCCTAGTCTTGGGCATGCCTTTCTTATTACTCAGCATCCCACCATAGCTGAGGTCCAGTTTGTTGACAAGAGCATAGCAGTGGTTGATGAAGTCCACTTTCTTTATTTCAGTGTCAAAGGGTAGCTCCATATGCTCAGAGGCTCTCCTGAGCATTCCAGAGAAGTGGTTTTTGTATTTCCTGATGACATTCTTCAGCCTTTCTGCCATTCTTATGGCCTTGTTCATTTTCATACTTGAGCAGCAGGACTTTGACAATTCCACTTTTTCATCTAGAGGAAGTATGGGCAAGTTCTCAGTATCTGGTGGGGACTGCAAGGTGCTTGGATTTATTTCCCCTCTTCTTGGCTGCTGGAGACATTATCTGATTTGCTCAATGAGGTGAAGGAAGAGGAGTTGGCAATCTGAGGATCCTAGAGTATACTGGGCATCTTAGGGGTAGAAGCCTCTTCCAGGGTATCAAAGAACAGGAGGATGAAGAGGAAGCCTCATTTGCAGCCTCTGAGACCTGTGCACTCTCCAGGCCCTGGGTCTCTCTGGGAGCCTCAAAGTGTTGTTCATGTGGGAAGGATGGGTGCTTTTTGTCACAGGGCATGATAATATGTGTGGGTGGAACAGACAGGAAGCCAGGCCAGCTAAAAGCTTTCCAAGGTTCACAGCACAGTAGGAAGGGTCAGACCCTGTGTTACTACTTCTGTTGTAGGTTAGACTGTCTCCTCCTTTCTCATTAAGTTTCCTTACCTTAGCTGCTGGTAAGGACTTAGCGCTCTTGCTTCTGCTTACCTCTCTTGCTTCTGCTTACGTCTCTACTGAAATACAAAAACTTAGCTGGATGTGGTGGTGCACACCTGTAGTCCCAGGTACTTGGGAGGCTGAGGCAGGGGAATCGCTTGAACCTGGGAGGCAGAGGTTGCAGTGAGTCAAGATTGCGCCACTGCACTCCAGCCTGGCAACAGAGCAAGACTCTGTTTCAAAAAAAAAAAAAAAAAAAAAAAAACACATACGCACAGCTAACATACTCAGTGGTGAAATAATGAAAAAAAGAGGAAGGAACATGACAAGGATTCCTGTTTTTACCACTTCTATTCAACATAGTATATGACAAGAATGTCCACTGTAACCACTGCTATTTAATATTATACAGGAATTTCTAGCCAGCATGATAATTCCATAAAAAAGAAAATAAAAAACATAAAGATCATAAAGAAATTAAACTGATTCTATTCATAGATGTTATGATTGTCTCCATGTGCAATCCAATATAATCTGCAAAATCTTCTAGTACCAATAAGTGAGTTAAGTAAGGTCACAGAACACAAAATCAATGCACAAAAATTATTTTTTCCATACTAGCAATGAACACATGGAAACAACAATTACAAATGAAATACAGTTTGAGAATTCCTAATCCCAAAATCCAAAATATCTCCAGGCTCCTTGGTGCACTCTTGTAATCCTAACTACTCGGGAGACTGAGATGGGAGGATTGCTTGAACCTAGGAGTTCGAGACCAGCCTAGGCAACATAGTTATTTCTCATCTCAAAAAACAACAACAAAAAAAGTCTGAAATGATCCAAAATTTGAAACTTTTTGAGGGCTAGCATAACACCACAAGTGGAAAGTTCTACACCTGTCCTCGTGTGATAGGTTACAGTCAAAATGCAATCAAAACTTTGTTTTGTGCACAAAATTATTTTTAAAATGTATAAAATTACCTTCAGGCTATGCATATAAGGTATATAGGAAATATAAATGAATTTTGTGTTTAGACTTGGGTCCCATCCACAGGATATCTCATTATGTATATGTAAATATTCCAAAGTCTGAAAAAATTTGAAATCCAGCACACTTTTGGTCCCAATAATTTTCGATAAGTAATACTCAGCCTGTACCAATTACAATCATTTTTTTTAAAGGAAAACTCTGAAACACTTAGGTGTATATCTAACAAAGCATAGGTAGGACTTGTATTTTGAAAGTATAAAACACTGATGACAGAAGTCAAGGAAGATACAAATAAATAGAGATACAAGGCCGAGCATGGTGGCTTATGCCTGTAATCCCAGTTATTTGGGAGGCTGAAGCAGGAGAATCGCTTGAACCCAGGAGGTGGATGTTGCGGTGAGCCAAGATCGCGCCATTGCACTCCAGCACACATTATATACAATAATAAAGTGAAAATAGGGCATACACATAATTGTGGATTATAAAACTGTAAACTTTTATAAAAATATAGGAAAAAATCTTGGTAGCCTAGGATTTGATTAAAAGTTCTTATTACATAATAGCATGATCCATAAAAATATCATCAGAGTTCATAAAATTAAACATTTTGCTCTGCAAAAGTCCCCTGTCAAGCAAATATAAAAATACAAGCCACTGTCTGTGAGACAATGTTTCCATACTACATATCTGACAAAGAATTTGTATGTAGAATATATAAAGAACCCTGAAAACTCAATAGCTAAAAAACAATTTAATTAGAAAATGGGCAAAATATATGAAAGGGTACTTCCCTGAAGAGGATATACAGATGGCAAATCAGCACATGAAATGAGGTTCAACTTCACTGGACATCAGGGAAATACCAGTTAAGACCAAGGTGAGATATCAATGCACACCTGTCAGAACAGCTAAATAAAAAATGGTAATAATAACAAATACTAGCAATGACGAGGAGAGGTTGGATCACTCATACAGTGCGGGGAATGTAAAATGGCACAGCAACTCTAGAAAACGTTAAGGAATTACTTTTTCTTTTCTTTTCTTTCTTTTTTTGTTTTTTGTTTGTTTGTTTTGAGAGGGAGTTTAGCTCTTATTGCCTAGGCTGGAGTGTAACAGTGCAATCTCGGCTCACTGTAACCTCTGCCTCCTGGGTTCAAGCGATTCTCCAGCCTTAGCCTTCCTAGTAGCTATTACAGGCACAAGCCACCATACCTCGCTTATTTTTGTATTTTTAGTAGAGACCGGGGTTTCGCCATGTTGGCCAGGCTGGTCTTGAACTCCTGACCTCAGGCGATCCACCCATCTCGGCCTCCTAAAGTTCTGGGATTACAGGCGTTAGCCACCTCGCCCGGGGGGTATTTCTTTAAAAACTAAACAAACTAGGAACATATACACCACTGGGGCAACCTGGGTTCACTCTGTATGTACTCCTTTGGTAAATCTTGAGAGTCTATAGTTAGCTCAAAATAAAGTTTAAATAAAGCTATGAATATTGTGGAAAGATGAGCTATAGTCTGGTAAATTTTTTTCAATAAATATAAATAACAGTGGATTAATACTCAGAAACCTAAAGAACTAAAATTCCAACAATCCTATTGCAAAAAAAACAAAAAACAAAAAGGCTAAAGACATAAACAAGAATTCACCAAAGAAGAAACTGAAATGGCCATAAAGTCTAGCAATAAGGCATTGGGTTAGGGATATCATTGATAGTGAGTATATCAAAATAATCATCTTGTAGAGCCATTTTTCAAGAGCATATTTATTTGAATATGAAGAATGTCTGTGAAATATCAAATCTGCCTTTGGGTATGTATCCTAGGGTAACTATAGCACATTTACACATGGAGAAATGTATAAGAATGCTACTAGCATCTCTCTGATACCAAAACACTTGTTAAAAAAGTATCATTTGTATGGAGAATATGTTAAAATATATAATGGGAAATTAGATTTAGAGAAAATGAATGAATCAAAGCTGCTGGAATCAACATGGATAGTTGTTGAAAGCATAATATCAATGGAAAAATCCAAAAACTCAAAAATCACTAAAAATTAAGTTATGCTTATGTAAAATTAGGAAACATGAAAAATACTTTTTTGTATATGGACACATTTATATATAGTAAAAGTGTAAAAAATGCAACAAGGTTGTTTAATACAAAATCCAGGAAAGGCCTTATTTTGATGAGGTGGTCAGGAAAGAGGGTTATACCCTCTTTTATTATTATTATATTGAGTAGAGGTACAGGAGGTGTCTAAACAATACTGACAATATTTTGTTTCTCAGTTGTGATGTTGGTTACACAGGTGCTCATTAAATTATTTTGTATGCATATTTGTGTGTCTTAAATATTTCCTAGGAAATTAAAACAAAGGGGGAAATATATTTAGTGCAAAATCCAAATTCTTAAACTAATTAAAGAGTTTGTTAATTACAACTATATATAACAAAATAAGGTATGAAGGAGAACCCCAGGAAATAGTCTTGGTAATATAAATATAACCTAATGCATGACTCTTCCTGGATTAACAAATGTCATTTGATATATCAATAGGTGTTAATGATGGTAATTCGTCATATTAAATAATACAAGAATTATATTAAAATAGCCTTGTCAGTACTAAAGAGTTAACAAATTTGATAACCACTGATGTACTTTAGTCTTGCATTTTAGTTGTTTGACTTCAATTATTTTTTCTCAGTGAAAGGAGACGGATTATAACGACTAAAAGTAATTTGTTATTTATTTGGTATTTAATTATGTATTTGCCTGTCTTTTTTAACTGTAATATTTATAACTTCTAATACACAAAACATGAAAATAATTGGACTGGGGTCAAGTTTAAATTGTAAATAAAATAACTGCAACCCAGTTGCAACAGTGAACTTGCCTGAACTTTGTGTCATTAGCCTGTGGTTGTTTACTTCAGTGCATACTTGTTTCTAAAAGGATTATTATTTCACCATCAAATCTGATTATTAATGGTCATGACTGTATTCAGATTAATTAAATTTGAGAAAAGTAATGATCTTCTCAACTATGTCCATGTTATGAATGAAATCCCAGAATTAAATTCTTATTAAAGCAACCCACTCATTTTCTAGACACATAAGTAGCTATACTTCAATATGTCCATTATAAAAGATGACTTTGATAATACAAGTTAATTTGGATACTATCCCAATACCATTGAACTTGTTAGGGCTTTGAAAATCTGAGGTCTGTTCTCCAACCTTCAAATAGGATTATATAATTGTACAGCTTTAAGGTTTCCAAAAAGCAAAATTTCATAAACCTGATATTCTATTCCAGTAGCTAAAAGATCTCAATATGAGAAATTATTTCTGATAACCACACTAAACCTCTACTGTGTCAGCTTAAGATCTTTTTTTTCCTTTTTTTCTTTTTTAAATATTTATTTCAGTAGATTTAGGGGTACAAGTGGTTTTTTGTTTCATGGATGAATTATACAGTGATGAAGTCTGGACTTTTAGTGTAGCCATCACCCAGAACTTAATTACCCAATAGGTAATTGTTCTGTTAATTAAACAAATGCCATATATTTTTCTGATTACAAATGTAAATCTGGCATACTGTTAAAAATTGAAAATACAGAAAAATACGTAAAGAAATACAAATACCTTTCAGATAAATACAACTAAGCATGTTGGACCATTTATTGTTTTTTTATGCACACATTTGTGCTTATAATACATATGTATATTCATATATATGATAACCACATTATATAGTAAATATTAATATCTATTATTTATTGAACATCTACTATGTACCACGTGTATACAGCATGCACTTTGTGTAGATTTTCATATTTAACCATTAATATGAAAATCTACATTTTACATTTTTAATCTACATTAAAAATGAAAATCTACATTTTCAAAATACAATTGAACCACAAAACATTAATTTTCTTTTCAAAGATCCCACAGCTACTAAGTGTTGGAATATAGATTCAAACATAGGCAATCTAAGTCCAGATATGGCACTCTTATAAGCCTGTCTCCCATATGTTAGGCCTATAACTAATATGTGTGTGTAACTGAAACAGAACTTAATCATATTCTTTAACAGAGCTAGTTTTTGATAATACATCTCTTGAGTGAACCTAACAGACTATCATCACTTTCTTAGCAGTGCTTTATTTCTGTTTATTCACAGTTTTACTTTTTATAGGAGAATGTATACATATATACTTGAAACTTTGACTGCAATGACAAATGAACATTCAGTGACCATACATACATGCACAGTTACACATGTAGTCATACATACATGTATTCATATTGCACTCATATTTTACTCATATTTGTGTTATCCTCTTATTCCCATAGTATTTTTTTCTGTGTATTATAAGCATGTACTTAAAAAATAAATGAAAAGTTTCTGCTGCTAGAAATCCAATTCCCAGAGTCAACTACTTTAATTTGTTTAATTATGTTTGATTTTAGTTTTTCCTGTAATATCCTCTATCTCTAAATAGTCCATATATATGGCACTATATGTGTATCAATATTTTATATAATATATTGACTTTTATCTATACCTTAGAATCTAGTTTATTTCCCCTCAATGTTATCATCACCTCCAAAACATTCCTCTTTTTATCTTATCTTGGTTACTTTGCAATAGTAAAATTTGTACTTTTATCTATATTTTTATTCCACCAGTATATACAGTATGTCTTCACTTCCCCATTGTAAGATGAGAATGCCAGTGAATTTGAAAGAATTATACCTAGTCTCTGGAGTTCTTTCCTTCTAGTATACTACCCTTCTGTATCAATTTGCGCTACTCTCATTTAGACCTATTGCTTCCCAGGCCTCCTGGAAAGTTTACTGCTAGTACTATGACTTTTGCTCTTGGATATATAAATATCCAACGGATAGTTTTTGTTATCTGATTATGCCTATTTCATACTATCCTATTCTTAAACTGGGGTTACAATATCTTCATTAATATTCTTGATGATATTAATGATAATTATGTTTTTAAGTTCTCATCTGTTAACTAAATTATATCTATTTTCTCTGAGGTTAATTGTTACATTTGTTTATCTTGATCTCAGTGTTTCATTTTGGAGTACTTACTGTAACGGTTTGTGATTCTTTCTTATCCATTTGTATTTTATAAAGAAGCAATAGAAAAGTAAATTATGATGTTGTATTTGCACAGGTTTGTCAATTGGAAGGCTTTACTTTAGGGTGGAAAACATTCTGTTTCTATGCTCAGTTGTCTGCATAAAATGTCCTTGAGGAGCGTGATATTGTCTGAGCCCCATCCTTCTCTCCAAGTGAATGGGCATTTCTGGACACTGATGGCTTCTCCAGGAGTCTACACGGCAGTTTTATTTCCCTTGTCAGCCTCTGTGCAGATGCTCATTGATGGTTCCTTCTAAATAGCTGCCTTTTTCTTTTAAATATTTTGTTTTACTTTTAATGAGGTTTCTATTTGGAAGAGATGAGACATCTAGTTTCAGATGCAATTGTGATCTAGCAGGGTTCTCTCATGTCATTTAATATTTAAATTCCGGGCTTCAGTTCTGACATGTAGAGGCTCTATGACCCAGACTCAGTTTCCCTATTTGTAAAATGAAGATCAGAATATTTGCCTACAGTGTTGTCAATAATAAATATGATTATGTAGGTAAAACATTTAGTGCTTTAACTGTAAAATATAGGACACAATCAATAAGTATTTGTTCCTTCCTCCACTCTAAATCTGAAATGCTGGTGATTCAAAGATGAAATGCTATTTGCAAGTGTTTGCAGTCCAGCAGAGTGCCAGATAAGCAAATAGACAATAAGGATATAATTTGACAATGGCTATATTTAAGATATGTATAGATAACTAAAAGAAAACGGAAAAAGAAGCATTTGAGTATTTGGGGGGAAACGAAGGAAGGGTTCAGAGAAGAGGCAATTCTTGACAATATACACGCAGAAAAGAATTATTCGCACTTTCTAGGCTGAATTCTGTTATATGGATTCAAATAGTATTATTAAATTGCTCTTTAAATGTCTCTTATCCTTGGCTAAGTAAATAATTTTAAATTCTTGGATTTTTATAAGAAGAGATTGGAAAATATTTTATTTTCTTTAATAAGAAAAAAGCAATTCTGAGCTTTATCATTATCAAAATTATATAATTATCTACCAATTTATATCACTTTCTTTTTTAAATCCTGTCCAAATCACAATTAATAGTGGCTCTTTCTGTCAGCTGTGAATTCACATCTTAAGAGACAGCATTTATATAGAAAAGATTAAATAGCTACACCAGGATGTGCACAAACATATTTATATCTCCTTCTGACTTAATGCCTAAATTTAGCTACAACCATACAGCGATTGTCATGAAAGTGAATTAGAGTTTTTAACAAACAATTCTGACTCTTTTTTTCCTCATTATTCTCATTGAGCCATCAAAAGAAAATGAAAAGTAAAGAAATTAAAATGAAGCCTATCATTATGATATAAATACCTGGAGACCCAGGGCACTTCCTTGAAGTGGATCACATGTTTGATTCTGAACTTGCTAATATCTTCAGAAAGGAGTCATTGTCATTTACATGATTCAATATGACTATACGAATTTTTTAAATGAAAAAGGAATTACTATATGCAAGACAAACCTAAATCTTCTTGGTTCTAAAACCAGCCATTGGCCTAATACAAAAAATACAATGCATTATACAACGCATAATATAGGACTTAAGTATGGGACCATAAAAACATTTATTAAGTGCATGTTATTTAGTCTATGGTCACTCTTGAACACTTCTTTTTTCATCAACTTCCATGAAGATCTAATCCATTATCAGGTCCTGTTGATTTTACCAAATATATCTTACATTTGGCATCTTTTCCTATTTCCCATCTCTTCCACCCTAATTTGTATATCATTATCTCTAAACTAGATTGCCACAAAAGACTCCTAAAAGGCTTCTCAGCAATACATCCCCTATATTAGAGCCACAGTCTTTTTTTAAATGGAAATTTGATCTTGTTACTCTTCTGCTTAAAATATTTCAATAGCTTTCCATTGCCATTAGGATATAGACTGAGTATCTCAACACGCAGCCTTTCATGGCTTTATCTTGGCTATATCTGGCATCAGTAACGCCCTTGCTCTCTAAGCCTTAACTATTTGCTTTTGATTAATTCTTCAAACACATTATACTCCTCCATAGCAGAGGCCTTGGATGTCTTTTTTCCTCCCCTGCTCAGTCTGGCTAACTCATTCCCATCCTTCATTTCCCACCTAATATGTCACTACCTCTAACCCATCAGACTATATCACACTCCCTATTATATGTTCTCATATTACTTCCTGGATGTCACATGCATGATTTGTGGTTTTCAAATTTATTTAATAATGATGTAATCAATATCGGGCATGTCCTAGAGAATGTAAAATCCAGGAGATTAGGAATAATATGGTTTTTTTTCCTAATTACTGCACCTCAAAAAGCTAAAATAGTATACAGCCTATGTAGAATCATGCAAAGTTGTCAAGATGCTGTGCTATAGTAATTTCCCACAAACTGGTGAATGGAGTGTCCTCCTCCATAGCCTTTTTACTATATACTGTGTTTTAGACTCCTAAATTAAAGATTCAGTAAGATGAACATATTTTCTTTATTCATTTTTATAATTGACAGTTACCATTATCTACCATTGTTTAGTTTTGAGTTTTGAATGTTATTTTCTGTAATGGCTTTACACATTTTTAAAAATCTTTCTTATTTTTTTCTCCATATTACCAAATACCAGTGACATGACAAAGTATTTGCATAAACAGTAGCACAGAATGTCCTATGAATTTCAAACACCACAATACATGTATAATTTCCTATGGCTTGCTGTTAGAAAATCCTTTATTTGCGAGATTATATATTCGGAACTTATCTTCAGATTTTACAGACTGGATCAAGATGTCTTAACTGATGATAATAACTACATTTTATGCTTCTTGAGAACTGCAACAGTCTTTAATTTTACTGTAGAAGTGAGTACATTGAAGGGTGTAGGCACTGGGCACAAAGTCTATACTGAACAGATGCTTGTTCATCATCTTTCTCAAAACAAAATATTTCCTCTTATATCTTTTATTCAAAAGAACTCAAATAAATATCACTGTGAAATGCACCAGCTGCTTCCTTCGTCCTGCTGAAGCTTCACTGCTATTGATTTCCAAACCCAAGAATGCAACAGGAGGAACTACAATGACTGTTACTTAAAGGTGAAGTCCTCAATTTTGTATTTCTTTTCTTCTCTTCTCAAGCCAAGGAGTATCACAGAAACGGCTCTTCTTCCAAGTTTTATCTCTAGGCAACTCTTGTTCCTTGAGATCATGCGTATGTACAGACACACAGATGTGCACATTATTTACATGTACACAATTATTTGGCTTCTGTGCCTCTGACATTATTGCTCTGATACTCTTTCTGAGAAAACAAGTCCCTAATTTTATAATAGAAGTTGAAAGAATGTATATCAAGTGTTGCTTTAAGATCAGCTTTTTAGGATCACATTTGCGCTTTTCATGAAAGAGTCATTCGCTATGCATGTAGTAACTTACATACCCTTCTGCCACGGAGACTTGTGATTTAAGTTAAAGCAGTCCAGGACCTATTTCTATGTTTCTGTTTAGATTAAGGGATGGTGATCTATAGACAAAATACTTTTGTCTTCTCTGATGGAAACATTCATCACTTTCTTGAGTGTTCTGTGGAGCAAATCTATTATAAGGATAAGACTAATGCTGGCATTTGAGAGGCGATGATGTTCCAAACAGTGTTCTAAGTGTTTATATCTCAAAGAGTGGGGAACAGAGATTTTTAAATCTCTATAAAATGGTTGTGACATTATTATAATTGACTTTTTGTAGCCATTATCTTATCTAAATATTATTTTCTAGCATGGATGTATGGTAAATAAATTCATTATGTTACAGTAGGTAGCTAGTCAGACATGAGCAGGGCATGCCCCTCGACCACCAGGAATGTCAAAGAACCATCAGGTGATGGTCAGGTGGTTGCTAAACTGCTTCTCTAAACTAATAATTGGTCACAGCCAGTGCCAAGGAAAGGCAGTCTCCCAACAGATAGGAAAAACCTGAAACTGGTGATCAGCAGCTTCCTGGTAAGATCTCAGGAGTTGGGCAAATGGGCTCCAGCATGTGCACTAAGAGGCAAAATGGCAGAGTTTAACTGATATATAGGAACACTCGTCTGAAAGGGAACACCTCAAGTGAGCATGTGCACAATTTTAGTAAACACATTGCACATGTGGCCCCTCCAAGTGCTGGCAGGCCACTGCACATGAGGACAGCCCACCCCGAGGGAGGTATCAAGAGAAAAGAGATGAAAGACCACAGAAGTATGCCAACACATAAAACCCTAAGGCAAAAGTTAAACTATGCACTTGATCTCACAAGTCACTTGCTTGGCCCTCTTCCAAATGTACTTTACTTCCTTTTGTTCCTACTCTAAAGCTTTTTAATAAACTTTCACTCTTGCTCTAAAACTTGCCTCAGTCTCTCAATTTGCCCTATGCCCCTCAGTCAAATTCTTTCTTCTGAGGAGGGAAGAATTGAGGTTGCTGCAGATCCATATGGATTCTTTGTCAGTCTCAATTATATCGCCAGACTTCCAAATGGATTATAAAGAATTTTAGGTGTGCAGGTCAAGAGTGGCAAGTAGAAGGAATGACTGTAGGAGGGTTGAGTGATGGCTAGTTGTGTGAGGAGGGCATTGAGATGCTTGTATGGACAGAGTGGCTTATACGACAATGATGCTCAGAATAGGAAGTGAGCATTTGTCACTGAGATGTGTGGTGTGATCTTATTTCCTGCTGAATAATCAACATGTACACTTCCCGATTTTCTCACACAAATTCTCTGAAACAGGACATTGCTTTGTCACATGTGGCTAAGTGACAGGGCTGGTTTTAGCCTGTCATTAATGTGGCTCTGGGTTAGAGAAGCCTGAAGCTCATGCAACTTTTTGTACTTCCCCCAACTGCCTATGCATGGTCTTAAGTCACCAGGAAGTAGATTACATCATAATGGAGAAATGAAATAAGGCAAGGATGTAATCAGTCTAAAACTAAAATTTCTAGAATATTTTCTTTATTTTTTTGGATAATTTGAGGTTTAAATTGTATATCTGTGCTTTTATTAGAATATAATTCTGTCAGTGTAACCACCACATTATAAACACAGGCATGCCACACACACACTCTCACATACAGATAAATATTCATGAGCACACACATTCACACACACACATACACACACTCCTGTCTCTTCCTTATGTCAGGTGTATTAGGTATATATATATATATATATATATATATATATATATATGAAACGTATCTTTGCAGAAATATATATAATATATAATAAATATTATATATGATATATATCATCTATAAAAACATATGAAATATCTTTGCAGAAATTATATCAGTGAGAAAATTATGACCGTGAAAGAAATCTGAGCTACCCACCCCTCCCCACTACCCATCTTGCCTTTCCCTTAATTATTCCTGGGCTACTGGCACAAGCTGACTTTCAAAGACATTTAGGCTATAGTTTAAATGATAATAGGCCTTACCCCCAAACTCAGCCACTTTTGTAATCCTAGTGGGAGGCCATCAGGCTGGAGGGAGGGGAGGAACTTATGTGCTGCTAAGGCTCAGCCATGAACGATTGTCAGCCATTACTCCAGAGGTTTTAAGATATGCAACTTCCCCAGTTACTCCTGCAAATGACACCACTATTGTAGATTGGCCTTTTGAGATATATTTTCAGGTTTTTTGCATGTCTGACACCCATGGCTCCAACTGGACCTGCCAACCCAGCTCCTGTGGCCCCACCCCGAAGCGATTCAGCTGGCAGGATAGCCTTGACCCCCTATGATTTCATCTCTGCTCCAACCAATCAGAAGCAAGCACCTGTTACCTGGTCACCCCTAACTCCTTCCCCCAAACTGCATTTGAAAAACCCCTAACGTAGGAGCTTTGAATGAGATGATTTGAGTACCAACTCTGTCTTCCATGTGATGTGGCTAGCCTCATGTCTATTAAACTCTTTCTATACTACAATGTCGTGGTCTTTCTTTATGTAGTGGGCAGGAAGAACCTCTCAGGCGGCAGGCAGTTACAGTAAACTCACATGGGGATGAAGCATCAGCCACTTTGTCTGGTCCTGAGTACTGGAGAAATTCCTAAGGCTCAATGTGGTCCGTGTCAGTCCCAGGGAATTTAAGGACAGGGAAGAGATCACTTGCCAGGTTGCAAAGCCTTAGGCATCATATAAATTGCTATCGCTCACTCCTGTTTGATGCTCACTCACCAGGCAAATTCAGCAGCAGCGCGAGGCCCTAATATTGTAATCCACCAGCCATTGGGAACTGGAAAAAGTGGGTGAGGGGTGACTGTCTGAGGAGTCCATCTGCCCCCTTTTTGTGTCACCTTCTCACCCAATCTTGTGGAATCAGGCATCCACACATCCAGCCTACTGATGCTTTTTTCTGCAGTGAAGGGGAAGATGGTGATTGTCCTTAGACAACTGTGGTGAGAAGCAAAAAAACAGAACTTAAAATGATTCTCCAGGCCCCCCTCTCATGGCTTCCTTCTTGCCACCTGCAGTCACTCACTTTCTGCCCAACCTCAGTTCTAAACAGCTTTCCTTCTCTCCAGGTCCATTGCATCTGTGTGTAAGTTCCTGAAATACATGTTTCCTTTCACATTTATAGTTTTTCCAGGATTGATACTACCTGAGGGAGTTACTGGAATGCTTTCTTCAAACTATTAATATTCACAAAATTTTACATATCCTAACATTTGTCAAAGTATTTGGTATTGCATATAATTATATACTTACCTAACTTAACACGTGTATTTCATGGATTCCCTAAGGAAACTATGGCTTTTATATGCTCAGCCAACTGAGCATGGGGTGGGAGCCTCAAGTCTGACGGCTGCAACTCAGGGAAGTGAATGGTAAACAGGGTTTCTTCTTCACTCAGCACATAAAGCAGTCAATATTAGGTTGGTTTGTTTTTAGATCAAGAGACTGAAACTGGGTTCTATCAACTGTTGAATGAATTTCTTAACATAAGATGAAAACAGAAGTAACGATGTTGGGAAGAGGGCACTTAGGAAAACTTAGAAAGGAAACCTGCTAATCAAACTTACGACTTCATGATCATCTGCCTTGTTTTGCTGAACAGATTCTCCATTAGCAGTGTTTAAAAAATTTCTCATCTGCAGCAGCATTTGACTGGGGGATGCAAAACTGAATGTTGTGCTTTGTCACAACTGTTCTAGCCAGCGGAAGCTGAAAAAGTATGATTACCTTTGAGTGACACTCACTGGACCTAACTGAAGGCACTTTTCTGTCCAATGAATAGTGGGACTTGAATTAAATCCAACATGTACAGGTCTATGTACTCTTCAAGTCTTCTCTAAAGTGATATTTTTTAATCCTTAATTGGCATAGTCACTAACTAACCCCCTTTCTAGCACTTAAAAATCTTTGACTCACCCTCCCCACATACACATACTCCACAGCCACTTAGCTGATTTATTTGTTGCTAAGCATTTCCTTGGTGATTACAGATTAATGACTTTGACGTTATTTAATTTTAGCTCTGAGAGTGTTGTTTCCTAGAATATTTGACAAATATTTAGGTTTTAGAAACTTGCTTCTCAAAGTGTGGCCCACAGACCACAAGCATTGACCTCATCTGGGAACATGTTAGAATCCTCACGTACCTTCAAGAACTACTGAGTCAGAATTTGCATTTTAACATCCTCAGGGGATTTCTCCACAGAATAAAGTTAGAGAACAGGCCTAGGACAGGATTTCTCAGAGTGAATGTATGGACAACTCATATCAAAAGTACCTGGGGGTATGTTTTAAATGCAGGTCCTAGGATTTATAACAGACCTATCTAATCCCAGTGCCTGCAGGTAAAACCTGGGGAATCTGCATTTTAAATAAGCACCCTGGGTGATTATTATGCACACTGGAAAGTGAGAACCACTGCTTTACAAATTTCAATCATGAAGTATTTCTTTAAATCAGTCAGTTTGTGTTTCACTTTTACAATGTATATTTTCATCTATTTTAAGGAAAACCTGTTTATTGTAATTAAACAGAAGCTTCTCAAACAAAAGCAACTGGGATGCCATTTTCTCTCTAAATGGCACATACATAGTATATAAAAGATCAAATACTTATTATATTGGCTTAATCGTTTGATTTGTGTGTCAGAATGTTTTACCCTTCTAGCCATTTAATAGACTTAATAGAAAATCACCAAAATAAATTTCCCTGGTGATTCACTTTAGATTTATAGAAATAAAAAAGCATTGGAGATTTTTTGCCTCATAATTTCATAAAATTTAAATGAGAATTCAGTGCCCAGCTTTAATTTTAAATTACTCTCTGGAGAGGAACACTTCCTCATGTATTTGCCTAACCCTAAGTTTACAGTGATAAAGGTACATCTGGAAGTCTGTCATATGTCTTGCATAATTCATAAATTGCCTCTTACTATGATTAAGTTTGAATGGTGAAAACTTTTTAGTATATAATATTGATACACATTACACCTCAAATAAGAAAGCATCCAAAATATCAGGTTAAAATAAAAGAGGAGAATATGATGTTAGTTTTCAAATATCAAGAAATGGAAAAATATTTTAATTGTGTGCATGTGCCCTCTTGTGCATTTATGTGCTAATGAGTCTAAAAATATCTTTGATTAATCTTGTTACTGACTTTTTTAAAGATATTTATTGAGGTATAATTGATATACAAAAATTACACATTTGACATATACAATTTGATTAATTGAGACATATGCATATACCCCTATTACCATCACCACAATCAAAGTAATAGCACCCATCATCTCCAAAAGTTACCTTATATCCCTTTTTTATTGTAGTAAAAACACTGAACATGAGATCTACCCTTTTAACAAATATTTTTTTTTGAGACGGAGTCTTGCCCCGTCACTCAGGCTGGAGTGCAGTGGCACAATCTCGGCTCACTGCAACCTCCGCCTCTCGGTCCAAGTGATTCTCCTGCCCCTGCCTCCCCAGTAGCTGGGATTACAGGTGTGCACCGCCACACCCAGCTGATTTTTTGCATCTTTAGTAGAGACGGGGTTTCACCATGTTGGCCAGGCTGGTCTCGAACTCCCGACCTCCTGATCCGCCCGCCTTGGCCTCACAAAGTGTTAGGATTACAGGTATGAGCCACCGTGCCCGGCCTTTTAACAAATTTTTAAGTGCATAATTTAATATTGTTAACTATAGGCATTATATTATACAGATGTTGACAAAAAGAGACAAACTCTGTAAAATATTTGAAGAGATTTACTCTGAGCCCAATAAAACTGACCATGGCCCATGACACAGCCCTCAGGAGGTCCTGAGAACATGTGCCCTAGGTGGCCAGGGCACAGCTTGGTTTTATACATTTTTTGAGAGGCATGAGGCATCAATCAAATGCATTTAAGAAATACATTGGTTTGGTCCAGAAAGGCGGGACAACTCAAAGTGCGGGGGCGGGAGTGTGCTTCCAGGCTATAGGTAAATGTAAACATTTTTTTGTTGACGATTGCGTTTGTCTAAAGACCTGGGATCATAGAAAGGAAATGTTCATATTAAGATAAAAGATTGTGGAGACCAAGGTTCTTTTGAAATCTTATAGTGGTTGCCCTTAGAGACAATAGATGACAAATGTTTCCTATTCAGATCTTTAAAAGGTGCTAGACTTTTAGTCAATCTCTTTAGGATTAGGAGGGCCTGGCAGAAAAAGACCTAGCTATGTTAATAGAGATTCTTTATAGACGCAAATTTTGCCCCACAAAGGACAGCTTTGCAGGGCCATTTCAAGATACGGCAAAGAAACCTGTTGTGCGGTAAAATATTTTGATTTTCTTCCTTGTGTCTTGATGTTATGCTAGAGTCAGGTTGGAAAGTAAGTCACAATATATAGGGTTAAATAAAACCCATGTGATGATAATTTTTGATTTGTAGGGCATGACTCCTCAGACCCCTTAGGCAAGAATTTGGGCAAGATAAGAAAATCAGAGTTTAGTCCTCATCTGCTTACCTGTGGCTGGCTGAATTTCCAAGCCAGTGAGTCTTATCCTGTGAGGTGCGGTGGAAGTGGGGCCTGCAGACCACTGCTGCTCAGCACCCTGGATTCAGCCCCTTTCCTAGGGGTATGTATGAGGGTCTAACCTCCCACCTTGCCAGAGTTGCAACTGCTTTTGCCAGAAAGCTTGGGTATCTCAAACTCCTGGGGCTCTGCGTGTGCCTAAGCGATTGCTCTGCCAAAACTCATGTAGCTCTGTGTGTCAGACTGAAGGCCCTGCTGGAGTGGGTTCACAAGGGGATCTCCTGAGCCGAGGTTTGGAAACATCCATAGGAGAAGCTTGAGTCTCTGGGGTTGCTCACTCACTCACTGCTTCCCTGAGTGGGGGAGACTCCCCTGGCTCTGTGTCACTCCCTGGTGGGCAGTCATCCTGCCTTGCTTTTCTCTGTATTGAATGGGTCGAGTTGTTTTCTAGATGAATCCCAATGTATGTACCTGGATGTTTCAGTCGAAGGTACTGTATTTATTTACTCCTTCTATTTCTCTCCATGAGAGCGATGCACACACTAGATGCTTCTAGTCTGTCATCTTGGGCAAACCTCCAGCAAACTTCTAAATGTACCCTGAGGTCTTTTCTCTGGCAAGCGTGGCCGAGTCAGTGTGAGGAGTGATGATTGTCAGGAACACAGAGGTGGCCTTTGGCATCCTAAGCATAATGTTAGCTTGTCTTTTGGAACCAGGTGTCATTTAGATTACGGGCCTTCACAAAATTTCTTGCATAGGCTAGTTCATTTTTTCCTGAAATTTTTCTGATATGTCTATTTTGAGGTATTTATTTAAAAAATAAGTCTCTGTGTAGCAGGACGAGCCGCAGACAAAACCTCTCAGACACCGAGTAGTAGAAGGAAGGGCTTTATTCAGCTGGGAGCATCGGCAAGCTACTGCCTTAAAATCCGAGCCCCCTAAGTGCACAATTTCTATCCCTTTTAAGGGCTCACAACACTAAAGATTTCACATGAAAGGGTCATGATTGATTTGAGCAAGCAGGCGGTATGTGACAGGGGCTGCATGCATCAGTGGTCAGGGAGGAACAGAACAGGGCAGGGAGTTTCACAATGTTCTTCTATACAATGTAAGGAATCTATGAATAACGTCGGCTTCTAAATCATAAGTTGATTTTTAACTACTGGGTTTAGTCCAGGCGGGCCCAGGCCTGGTTTTGGGCCTGGCGCCGGGCTGCCTGTCTTTGGTTTTACCTCCTTGTTGTTTTTTCTTAAAACAGGTACTGAGTATAAAACAATATAAAATAATATGAGAGGGTCTTTCTCTTCCTTCATCTGGGCCCTATTCCACACCAATTGAATCAGACTTTCCAGAAGAGGAGCCTGAAAACCTATGCTTCCTCTTGTAACATATGTATTTTGAGTTGCAAGACGAGAAGACTTAGACATCTTCAATTCTAATTTATTCTAATTATTATTACTGTTCACTAATGATAATAAAAGGAAGAATTTTTTGTGGTCCTCTAGATTTTAACAGAGTTCTGAATAGTTTTTGCTTTATTTATTTCAGTGTCATTTTCAACATTTGTATTTTTGCCATAACAATGAACTGAACCTAGTCAATTAGTTAAGCACATGAACTTTTGGTAAATTTGTGGTTTCTAAACTTGTAAATATCAGAGGAAATTCAGAATAATTTACACTGAGTAAATTTACTGTCAATTTACATGTTGATTTTAATTTATTCAAAACGATGAATTTATATTATTCAAACTTTATTCAGATATATCTGTTTATGTGTTACTAGGTTTATGTACATGGAATTAGGGTAAATATGCACCTGATAGCATTAATATTTAAACTTCTTTCATCTATTTTATGAAGTTATTTTTTATAGTTTAAAAAGAATCTGAATTCCGAGTATAGAAGCAGAGATTTTAAAACTTAGATTGCTTTATAATTCTAAATTCTTTTAAACTATAGAAAGCTATTGAAGATGTGAGAAATGGGAAAGTTATTCTTCAAAGATTATAAAAAGTCACAATTTCTTACTATAAGATTGCTATCCAGTATTAATATATATATACTATATATATAAAATATTATATATAAAAACTATATATAAAATACTGTATATAATATATATAAAATGCTATGTATAGCATATATATAATACTATATATAGTTTATATGTAAAATGCTATATATAGTTTATATATATAATACTATATATAGTATATATAGTATATATATAAAATACTATATATAGTATATATAGTATATATAATGCTATATATATTATATATAGTATATATAATGCTATATATATTATATATAGTATATATATAATGCTATATATATTATATATAGTATATATAAAATGCTATATATATTTATATATCGTATATATATTTATATATAGTGTATATATATGTTTATATATAGTGTATATATATTTATATATCGTGTATATATATATTTATATATAGTGTATATATATTTATATATAGTGTGTATATATATTTATATATAGTATATATATTTATATATAGTGTATATATATATTTATATATAGTATATATATATTCCCAATCAGCTGTCCTAGCTTGCTCCAGCATGCTTGGACAGAACTAGACAAGCCCCAGCCCATAGTGTAGGCCATTCCTTATTTGGAGATGCTTCCTTAACTATCCCTGGGCAATTTCCTTTTCTTTCTTTGTTCTGTTCCCCTTACCCAGTTAAAAAAGTTTTAAACTAATAGCCAATTGGGTAAAGTGTAAAATGAGAGGTCCTATTCCAGCCAATAGGAACTGGACACAGCAGTAGGGTAGCTGCATCAGGTTATAAATAACTCTGTCTCCTTTGTTGGGTGTGCTCTCGTGGCTGGATAGCTATTGAGTAGCACCCTTTCTGCAGAAAGTAAAGCTCGTCTTGCTGAGAGACCATTTGTTCTCATGTTAATTCTTTTTTTGCAACACCAAAAACTTCATTCCCAACAAAGATAAAATAGAATAAAAATAGTGATATGACAAGGAAGGCCAGGTCAAAAGAAAATAATGCAGATTTCTATTAATGAAATTGAGGCATATATTGACATTTATTGCTATGCTTTTAGTTTTTTTTTCATGTTTATTTGTCTCTGTCTATGTAATTGTTTTAGATGTAAAAAGTGCTCAGCAGGTAAAAATTGGGACAATTTTGATAACATGGGACTTCTCAATGTGAAAGTCATCAGAAACCATGTGCCAATGTACTTGTGCCTAGCTTATTAAAAATAGTTCAAGTACTTTTAAATTTAATCTTAGCACATGATTAAAAAGAAGTATATTATAATTTCCCCAAGTAAATTGTACTCAAACCAATATTTTAAGCAAATTATAAAGATTGTATATACTGCAAGATATTTTATTTCTCTATTGGTTGTTTTGGGAGAGAAGTTATTAAGAAAAATAACATTTTGGCTCACTGCATTTGTTTCATTAAATGTTCATATTATAACTAACCAGAACATTCAAATAATTGCTTTATTATTTGGCTTTAGTAAACAATAAAAGATAGATTAATGCATTGAACTCGAAGGGTGCATTATAGGTACCATAAAACTAGGATATTTTAGATACATTATGTTAACTTATTTGAAAATATAAAATTCTATTATTGCCAAATTATTTAGTAATAATTCTACAAATCGAACTCTTTGGTCCTTTGTATCTTCTGGATTAAATGGCTTCTTTGTGATGTTGACTTTGCCTGGGTCACCTCAAAAGATTTTGTATTTTTACTTTTTATTTTAAATAATTTACAGTATCACATATTAAATGAGAGTCAAACTTCAAAGCAATGTTCTGGGTATATCTGTGAGTATAAGTAACAAAATTGACTCAGTTTAATGAACAGTGAAAATTGAGTCTACTTTCACAGTTTGGGATAAAATATAAGAATTCTGTTTCACATTTCAAAATGTATGTGTGTGAATACATACATATATATATATAGTTCTGGAAATTGTTTGATTAGATCTAAAGTTCCAAAATTATTGAAGCTATAGACTGTAGTTACAGGTAAAGATATTTGCCTTTTTATGGTAAGCTTGCCATGTTAAAAACAAAATGAAATGCACAGTAGAAAAGCATTTAGAAGTTGACTTTGGCATGAAAGGAAACCTTTCATGACTACCTGAAATCAAGGTTTTGTCAGTGAGGAGAAGAGGGTAAAGGATATTGGAGTAAACAACTAATAATCTTCTCCATAAGGACACACAAAAATTATTTTTGTCCCTAATAACACAGTTGTTTAGTATATCTTTAATCTGACATTGTAGGCAGAAAAAGATCTTTTGATCTTTATGTCTTAATAAAATAATGCTTAGCAATGCTACAATATTACATTTTTATAACGCTCTCTTTAATATTTGTTTTTGAACAGAATTCCAAACAAAAACAAAATGTAAGAATGCACATTTTAAAGTATAACCAGAATGAGAATACTGCAAAGTACCTTTATGGTTAACTTTCTTAGGTAAACTAAAAATCAAATAACATGGCATTGTCTTAACAGAATCCCCAGTCTGGTATCTATGTTTAATCAGCAGGGAAACACTAGGAAATAAGTAAAAAAAAAATTAAAGTTCCATATAATGACTGAATTGTTTTTAGTGTTTTAAAAATGTTCGTGTTCTTCTCTTTTTCGGCACATAGTGATATTACACATTCTCGACAATGTAGAAGTTATGTGTGAAAATATAACTTATTTGGCAAAAAACATGGGTGGGGGGAAGTGCTGTACATTAGTTTCAAATTTAAGAGCCACTGAACAATTTTTCAGATTCCTTTCTCCTGCTACATACAATGATCGTAGAAACGTGTAAAAACTGAGCCTCCCTCAGCATGGATTTCTGACTGCATAGTCTCAATCTATGATAGCCATATAGTATGACCAAGAAATAAACTATTCTTCTAATTCACTAATATTGGAGGTTGTTTTTTCACTGCAGCATGACCTAGTTCATGGTACCTGATACTCCTCTCTGGAGTAACTTCTGCTAATGTATCCCAAATAAATACATTTTGTCTTCTCAAATGAGCTTTATGTTACTCAAATGATCTTTCAGGGGTTGTTAAGATATAATAGAAACTGTTATTATATATGTTTAAAATGCCTCTGTGTATAAACTGCTCTTTGAAAGCAACAGGTAAATGTAGAAAAATCTTTGAAATGGTATGGGTAATAGACTCTTTATTCATCACACATTTAACTTCATGAAATTATAAAACATTAGCATAAGCAAGAACTGCTAACAAGTTCTTACTCTAGTTAATCCCAAAGGAATTTGCTGGCAAGGATCTGTATAAAAGATAGATTTTAGCCACAATTTAAAAATGGTCAATGGATCATCTGTGCTCTGAAATGAGCCCTCTGAAAATAATTTCTTATACTATGATTTGCTGCTTTTACCAGTAATATTGAGTTATGTACTCACTCAACAAATACATACTAGATAGAACCTCAAGCACTCTTTTTAGTACAGAAAAAAGATATAGTAATTAATAAGTCACAGGTCTGATCCTCAAAAAACCCACCATCAAGTAGGGAAAAGAAATAAAAAACTAACAGAAATTTGACAAAGATATTCAGGACCTGAACTCAGCTCTGGATCGAGTGGATCTGATAGGTATCTACAGAATTCTCCACCCCAAAACAAAAGAATTTAAGTTCTTCTCATCACCACATGACACTTACTCTAAAATTTATCACATATTTGGAAGTAAAACACTCCTAGACAAATGCAAAAGAACTGAAATTATAACAACTCTAAAATTTATCACATATTTGGAAGTAAAACACTCCTAGACAAATGCAAAAGAACTGAAATTATAACAGCCTCTCAGATCACAGCACAATCAAATTAGAACTCAAGATTAAAAAACTCACTCAAAACCACACAACTACATGGAAATTAAACAACTTGTTCCGGAATGACTGCTGGGTAAATAATGAAATTAAGGCAGAAATTAAGAAGTTCTTTGAAACTAATGAGAACAAAGAGACAATGTACCAGAATCTCTGGGACGCAGCTAAAGCAGTGTTAAGAGGGAAATGTATGGCACTAAATGCCCACATCAAAAAGCCACAAAGATCTCAAATTGACAACCTAACACTACAACTAAAAGAACTAAAGAACCAAGATTAAACAAACCCCAAATATAGCAGAAGACAAGAAATAACCAAGACTAGAGTGGAGTCAGGAGCTGCTTTTTTTAAAAAAAATTAACAAAATAGATAGACTGCTAGCTAGACCAATAAAGAAGAAAAGAGAGAAGAAACAAGTAGACACAATCAGAAATGGTAAGGGGAGTATCACCACTGACACCACAGAAATACAACCACCAGAGAATACTATAAACACCTCTATGTACATAAACTAGAAAATCTAGAAGAAATGGATAAATTCCTGAAGGCATACACCCTTTCAAGACTGAGCCAGGAAGAAACTGAATCTGTAAATAGACCAATAGTGACTTCTGAAATTGAGGTAGTAATAAATAGCCCACCAACCAAAAAAAGCCCAGGAGCAGATGAATTTATGCCTGAATCCTACCAAAGGTAGAACGAGGAGCTGGTACCATTTCTGCTGAAACTATTCCAAACAATGGAAAAGGGTGGACTTCTCTGTAACTCATTTTATGAGGCCAGCATGATCCTGATACAAAAACCTGGCAAAGATACAAAAAACAAAAAGAAAAAGAAAAAAGAAAACTTCAGGCCAATATCCCTGATAAACATTGATGCAAAAATTCTGAATAAAATACTGGCAAATTAAATTCAGCAGTACATCAGAAAGCTTATTCACCATGATCAAGCTGGCTGCATCCCTAGGATGCAAGGTTGGTTCAACATACACAAATCAATAAATGTAATTAATTACAAAAAGAACTAAAAACAAAAACTATGTGATTATCTCAATAGACATGGAAAAGGCCTTTGATAAAATTCAACATCCCTTCATGTTAAAAACTCTCAATAAACTAGGTATTGAGGAATATACTTCAAAATAATAAAAGCCTTATATGACAAACCCACAACCAATATCATACTGAATGGGCAAAAGCTGGAAGCATTCCCCTTGAAAACAGGCACAAGACAAGGATGCCCTCTCTCACCACTCCTATTCAACATAGAATTGGAAGTTCTGGCCAAGGCAATCAGGCAAGAGAGAGAAATAAAATGTATTCAAATAGGAAGAGCAGAAGTCAAATTATCTTTATTTGCTGATAACGTGATCCTATATCTAGAAAACCCCATCAAAAAAACAAAAACAGACACATAGACCAAGGGAACAGAATAGGGAACTCAGAAATAAGACTGCACACCTACAACCATCTGATCTTTGGCAAATCTGACAAAAACAAGCAATGGGGAAAAGATTTTCTATTTAATAAATAGTATTGAGAGAAGTGGCTGGCCATAGGCTGCGGATGGGGTGACAGAAGCACACACTGGTGGCCACCACCATTGGAACTGCAGTGGGTCAGGCCTGAAGCCAGCAAAACACTGGGTCTGTCTCAAGGCTCGCTGTGACTAATACCTGGCTAGGTTTCTGTGTTCACTGAAGACCATAGGGTAATAGAATCAGCAGGTGGCCAAGCATTCCAGGTTTGTATTCTTCCCTTCAGGGTTTCAAGTGTTCCCAGGCCTCAGGCAAGTCCCAGAAATGCCGTCTGGCAGTCAGGGATTAGGGTCAAAACCTTAGAAATCTACCTGGTATTCTATTAAACTGCCGGTAAACTGGCACTCAAACTGCAAGACCAAGTCCTTTCTGATCTTTCTTTCCCTTTCTATTGGCAGAGGAGCCTCTCCCTGAGGCCACTACCTCCACTGGCCCATGGGGAGTTCTGCTATGCCACTGCCAATGTTCACTTCAGGCCCAAGGGTTCTTCAGTCATCTTGTGGTGAATGCTGCCAGATCTGGGAGTCTCCCTTCAGGGAAGCTGGCTCCCCTCTGAACCAGGACAGGTCCAGAAATGCTGTCCAAGAGCCTAGGCCTGGACTTGGAAACCCCAAGAGCCTGCTTAGTACTCTACTCCACTGTCGCAAAGCTGGTACCTGAAGCCAGCGCATTTCAGACTCTCCCCTAAGCCCCGTGGCATACTACCTGTATATCACTGTTAGTTATTCAGGGCCCAAGGGCTCTTCAGTTAGCAGATGATGAATCCTGCCTGGATTGGGTTCTTCCCTTCCAGGCAGCAAGTTTCCTTCTGACCCAGGGCGTGTCTAGAAATGTCATCTGGGAGCTAGGGCCTGGAATGGTGGCCTCACGGATCTGCTGTTTCTCCTATCCTACTGTGGCTGAGCTGCTATCCAAGATGCAAGACAACGTCTTTACTTGTCCCTCTCCCTCCTCAAGCACTTTCATTGCTGCATGCAGTGCTGCCTGGGGTTGTGGGAGGAGTGGTGCAAGCACTCCCCCTACAACCCCATGAGATGTCTCACCAGGTCACACACTACTTCAGCCTACTGGCTCTAAGCCCAGCACAGCATCAGGACTTGCCTTAGAAGTGCAGTCCTTGTGTCCTACACTGCCTTTCAAGTTCACTTACGACCCCAGAGCACTTTAACCCGTGGTGGCGAGGCTTGCCAAGAAACCCAAGTTCTGACCACTAATCTGGGCACTTCACTCTGGCAAGGTCTGGTCCAAATGCTCCCTCCATGGTCAGGCACCAGCTGAGTTCAGCACAGTTTTGCTTGCTACTGTAACAGTACATCACTGAGTTTAATGCAAAGTCCCCCAGTCACTGCTATCTCCCTTCCTCAAGTATACAGATTCGCTCTCTGTGCCACGCAGCTGCTGCCAGGGGAGTGGGGATGAGTGGCATCAGTCATTCAAGACTGTCTTTCTTACCCTCTTCAGTGCCTCTTCTAGTGATGTAAAGTTAAAACCAGGTGCTATGTTTGCTCGCCAGATTTTTGGATCTTATGAAGGATCTTATGAAGGGCTTATGGATCTTATGAAGGATCTTATGAAGGTCCTTTTCTGTGTGCAGATAGTTGTTAAAATTTGGTGTTCTTGCAGATGGGGGACAAACGGTGGACGCTTCTGTTCTACCATGCTGCTCTGTCCTCCAGGGTTACTCTTGTTTGTATATCATGTGGGTTTTGAGAAATGTATAATGACATGTATCCATGGTTACAGTTTCATAGGAGAGTTTTTTCACCTCCTTAAAATCCTTCCGTGCTCCACCTATTCATCCCCCACTCCCAACCCCTAATCTTTTTACTATTTTCATAGTTCTACCTTTTCAAGAATGTCACGGACTTGGAATCATCCAGTATGTAGCCTCTTCAGATTGACTTTTTCCACTAAGTAATAATGCATTGAAGGTTTGTTTCTCTAGGCCTTTTTATGACTCGATAGCTCATTTCTATTTAGTGCTGAATAACATTTCATTGTCTGGATGTACCACAGTTTATTTATCCATTCACTTATTGAGGGACATCTTAGTTGCTTCCATGATTTGACAATTATGAATAAAGCTGTTATAAACATACCTGTGTAAGCTTTTGTGTAAACATAAGTTTTCAACTCCTTTAGAAAAATATCAAGGAGTGCAATTGCTCAATTATATGGTAAAGGTATATTTAGTTTTCTAAGAAGCTGCCAAACTCTCTTCCAAAGTGGCTGCAATATTTTAAATTCCCATTATCTAAGTGTTAGCATTTCTGTTGCTCCATATCCTTGCTAGCATTTGTTTTTGACAGTGTTCAGAATTATGGCCATTCTAATAGGTGTATAGTGGTATCTCATTGTTGCTTTAATTTGCATTTCCCTAATGACATATGATTTAGAGCATCTTTTCACATGTTTATTTACTGTTTGTTATCTTCTTTGGTGAGGTGTCTGTTCAGGTCTTTTGCCTATTTTTTAATCAGGTTGTTCTATTATTGCTGTTAAAACAATTTTTAAAAATTTATTCACTTTTATTAGCTACCCTCCCACAAAACAGGTAAAGAAAAGTAATAGAGATGAAGTTCAGATTAATCTGTTTCTGTACACACTATGATAAAAGGGACTGAAGGACTGAAGATTGCAAGTATTGTGCAAAACGAGGTTTGGAGACTGTATTAGATTCCTGTTGCTGCTGTAACACATTACCTCAAATTTAGTGGCTTAAAATAATAAAAATTACTGTCTTACATTTCTGTGGGTCGCAAGTCTTATGCAGGTCACACATGGCTACAATCAAGGTGCTGGCAGGGCCACATTTCTTTCTGGAGGCACTAAGGGAGACTCTGCTTCCTTCTATCCACTTTGGAATGGTCTCTTACATAAATGATGAAATATCTATTATTTCCACAATAGTCTTAATTTAAGATGTATATAGAACCATCAAAATACATTGAAATATCAAGTAATCTTTACTTTTGTAAAAAAAAAAAGTTATCTAAATTGTTAACCAGAAGCACAGAATAAATGGTGAGATGGACTATATGACCTCTTAAGAGTGTGGTATAAAAAGACGGTATTGCTCATAAAAATCAAATGGACAAAATGAGAGGATGTTGTAGAAAGAAGACTATAATTTTTTGGAAATAGTCAATAGATCTGATTTCAGGCAAAAGCAGATGCCCAGGTAGGCAAATCTGTTTTTTGTTTTGTTTTGTTTTGTTTTTCAGAAAATGTCAGGTAAATTGTGTTTGAGAGACCAAATATTAATTAACAGTTTGTTGAGAAAAGCAATCAGAAATACTAAGACAAGAGGGATATGGTTGGAGTTGATGGATTCTGAAAACCAGGGAATATTTCAAGGGAGTTAGCTGCTTCAGACTGTCATCTGCAAATTAATTTTCAAAAATGTAATCAATGCAGTTGCCCAAGCTTCCTTCTAACTTCATGAGAAATAAACAAATGTGGAAAACACCAGCTTATAGAAGATAATTTTTTAAGAAAGAAAGTTCTAGAACATTTTTGGAGATAATACGTATTTAGTCCGAAACGAAGATCATCTACTTTTGAAAAAGAGTGGTGGAAATAGGGACGCCTGTTAGTTTCCTTTTTGTATTTTTCTTTTTTTTAAAAAAATTAAACAATATAGAAAGCCAGATGATATATAAAATGCATTTGTAGTCTTTGCATATCCTATTGTAGTTAGCCATAACTTTTAAGACTCTAAGTTTTAACTAATACAGATAATTGTTTCTGAGTTTTGCTTGTGTTGATGTTATTTTCCTATTTTCTTGTGACAGTGTGAGTAGCAGTGGATGTGACACTGGTCAGGGCTGTTCCCATGCCACAGATGCCTTAAAAATCTGTGAGTACTCAATAAAAGTTTTTACTTGTTTTCATGTCTGATTGTTTTATGCACAAAGCATAATATGAAATGAAATATTAAACAGGCATGGTTACGAGGATAGACAGAATGGCAAGCCCTGGAGATTGCTGGCTGATTTGAGACTGGAGTGTAGGTCCTCACCCTTTTCCCTCGATGACCCTTTGGATGACTCTTCGCACATGTCTCGTGTCACTGCCAAGTCTAGTTCCCTCCAATGTACAGAGAATGTGTTTAGATATACGGCCTTTATGTCTCTTCTGGCTTATTCCAAATTGTTTAAACTTATTTAAGGGACAGGTATCACCAAGTTTAGAATTGTAAGGGGAGCACAGATTTACTTTACTTTATGAAATAACTATACGTCTAGAAAAGACGGATATAATGATCAGTAGAAAAAATGGATATAGGAATGTTCTGGTTATCCAGAGCTACAGAACAAACCACCCCAAATATACTAGCATAAAACAACACAAATTAATAATGATGGTTATCTCTCACACTTCTGGGGTGACTGGGCTTAGCTGGGTGGTTCTAGCTCAGGGTCAGATGGAGGCTGGGGCTTGAGTCATTTCAAAGTCTTCCTCGCTCACATGCCTGACTGTTAATGTTGCCTTTTGTTTAGGACATCAGCTGGGGCTGTTGGCATGGACACTTACTCATGGCTTCTCCACGTGGCCCAGGCTTCTTCCTGGAAGACAGATGAGCTAAGAAGGAGAGAGAATTGTCAGAAGTTGCATTACAGTATCTGAACTAGTGTGAAAAATCACACCACTTCACTTTCCAGTGTACTATTGATTAGAATCAAGTCACTAAGACTGACCTACTATGTCACCAAATTTAAGGCAATATTTAAAAATTTTGGGGCATGTTTTATGACCACCAAAAAGAAAAATATATCTATATGAAACATATAATATAAACAATATATAAAAATATACATACTATATAGTATATATAATATAGTATATAGTATAGTATTATATATAATACTATACTGTAGTGCTATACTATAGTATTATACTGTATTATACAGTACTTATAAATGGTATATAAGTATTATATATATTATATAAGTACTTATAAACTATATATAAGTA
The DNA here is from genome assembly GCF_000001405.40 of Homo sapiens. Taxonomy (NCBI): domain Eukaryota; kingdom Metazoa; phylum Chordata; class Mammalia; order Primates; family Hominidae; genus Homo; species Homo sapiens. The sequence continues at coordinate 35,682,201 of NC_000023.11, read as the reverse complement.
TATATATAAAATATATAAAAATATATAAATATATAAAATATATACTTGTATATAACATATCGTATAAATATATATAACATATAATATATAGAGATATTTGAGTATATAAAATTCTTTTATTTCCAGTTTGAATTGCCCATTAGACTTTGTAATGTGAACTATTACATAGTTCACAAAAAATTAGAGGCTCATAAGTGACTCCTTTGCTATGTATAACTAGGTTAATTTTAAACTGTAGTGAGGTTCCCTTTGTAATGAAATTCTCCATTAAGGAATTTTTAATAGAAGGTCATAATTATACATTTTGTTATATTAAACTTGAGCTAGGGTCACCCGTAATTTCATTAAATAATGTATGTATTATTTTCAATCGTGTTCTAATGCATTGAACGTTTTAATGTATCTCAAACTGTTAATCACTAACTGAAACAGCTGCTTTATTTGAACAGCATTTATAAAATGATATGCAAACAAGCTTTGCTTCATGTTTTGACAGAAGTTAAATCCACTTTCATCAGAGAGTCCTGCTCAGTGTGTGTTCTTTACCTGGGAATGAAAGGAACTTCAAGCCTGGAACTCTACTTTCTTCCCTTTGACATCTGTGCTACTGTGGAGAGGGCAATAAAAAGATGAGGACAGAATTGTGGTTTGTGCTTTCAGCATGGGCTGCCACTTTAATGGAGTAACCAGGAACAGGTGACTTGAAGGCAGCCGGAGGTCTTTTGAAGTGTGGAATTCTACTCTATTACCAATAGTATCCCCCCTTAGCAGCCCATCTAGAAGTGCGCAGACAACAGCCATAATTCAGACAATGCACCATGTGTTCATTTCCAAGTCACAAGAAGTGAGTAGTCCAGCCTTGATTGTCCCTACTTGGCTCAGTTACATTAAGAAAGCTAACAACATTGATGACACTGAGACACCACCGATTGAAAGTTCTGTTTTTCCCTTTGTCTCACCCCATTCTCTATTTCTGACTAATTCCGCCTCCCTTTCAAAAAAAAGTCTCTTTCATCACTTACGCCAATTCTCCATCCTGATTTATTTTACACTCTTTATGTCATAACATGGTCAGACTGCTTTCACTCAAAGCCATAAGGACATTCATTTAAGAAGTGTTTATATTCATATTGAAGTCTAGTAGGGCTAAAGCTTTCTTTACTTCTCTTAGGGTTTCTAATTATTCAAATATCTTAAGCTGCAGCTTGTCACATTCAGGTGTTGTGGTTGGTCCTAGTTAATCAGCTTCTGCAGGAGTAACTTTTCCCTTTCAGCCTTATTTGCATTAAAGATGAGTCTTAGACACCATCTGAGTATTCAATCAGTTTATTCTGACAATGCTCTCACAAGACGGTTAGAGGAAACATGTTGGTGTCATGGGCCAGATATACTCAGGTGGTCTGATAACCAGATGACCAGGAAGGTCTCTGTGTGGAAACTATTCTCAGTTTGGGGAATCTTTCCCTCTTTCTTTATAATTGCATTCATTCTTGGTGAGTTACCAGGTCTTTCTTCCATAAAGGAAGTTTAAGCTTTTCTTGTAAGGTTGAGCTTTAAGGTTTATAAATGTGCTGAGGTGGCCTTGTCTCTTAAAAATTCTGGGCCAGGTTGCATCACACTGCTAAGTGACCCATAGGGTAGGCCCTGCAATACTCGAGGGTGGGCCTTATGGCTGTCCTTAATCTTATAGCTCTAACATGTATCTTATAATTCAAAGGTTAGCTTTTATATAGTCCTCGTAGAAGGGACATAAATTCAAGAAAAACAACTATTTTGATTGCTTTCAAGGAAATAATTTTAATTGATGTAGGATTATTAACATGTTGCTGGTAGGAAAACTAAGGATTGGAAATATCATATGACTTATACTAGATAGGCATTGCTGCTGGTGAGGGTTGAGACATGATTCATACCTGGATTTTTTTGATATGTTCTCACTCATAAGTGGGAATTGGACAATGAGAACACATGGACATAGGCAGGGGAACATCACACACCGGGGCCTGCCGGGGGTTGGAGGTTAGGGGAAGGATAGCATTAGGAGAAATACCTAATGTGGATGATGGGTTGATGGGTGCAGAAAACCATCATGGCACGTGTATACCTATGTAACAAACCTGCACATTCTGCACATGAATACCAGAACTTAAAGTATTAAAAAAAAAAGATTCTATATTCTTTACCCTTTTGTTTTCTTTCCTTGGAGTTTTTAACAAATAGTCTTCATTTTATAGAACAGTTTTATATTAATAGAAAAATTGAAAAGAGTACAGAACTTTTCCATATGCCCACCTTCACACGGTTTCTCATATTAACTAATTAACTGACATTAATTAGGATGATACAGTTGTTATAATTAATGAACCAATATGGATACATTATTAAGTTCATAGTTTATTCATATTTCCATTGTAACTTTTTATTGTGATAAAATCCATATAATATAAAACAACATTTTAACCATTTTAAAGTGTGCAATTCAGAGACATTAAGTACACTGACAATGCTGTTCAATGTTCAGTCATCACCATTACCTAGTTCCAAAAGTTTTATCACCCTAGAAGGAAACGCTGTGAACATTAACTAGTCAGTCCTCATTAATCCCTCTCCCAAAATCCCTGGCAAACACTTACTTGCTTTTGATCCTATAAATTTTCCCATTCTGGATATTTTATGTTAATGAAATCATATAATATGTGGCCTTTTGTGTCTGGCTTCTTTTGCTTCACAAGATGTTTTCAAGCTTGATCCATCCTGTAGATCAGTGTTTGCCAAAGACTGGGGGCATAGGGCAATGGTGAGTGATCGCTTAATGAGTATGGGGTTTCATTTTAAGGGTGAGAAAACTGTTCTAAAACTAGATAGTGGTGGTGGTTGTACAACATTTTGAGTGTATTCAATGCCACTGAATTGTAGACTTAAAAATGGTTTAAAAATGCATTTTGAGTTGTCTGTATTTTATCACAACAAAAAGATTTCATGTTATTTTAAGGTACTTAAGATGTGTCTGTAAATATAAACTGGCTCCCCATCCCCCGCTTTTTGTTTTGCAGTCTCATGTAGTTGTACTTAACCTCATATACATTCTGAAGAGTTGTTCATTTTTCTCCATTCTTCTCATTACAGTGGAATATCAAAAAGTTGCCTAAAAAGCAATAAAACTAAAATTTTCTGTTGTGTTTATATAATTATTCCCATCATGTTGAAGTAATATCTAGCACATGGATGCTGGGTTTTCTTTTTTTGGTGTTTTTTTTGGTTTTGTTTTGTTTTTTTTCAGTTCAACAGAATAGACCCAAATTCTAAGATGTATATTGGTGACAACTATCCTTTTCAGACCCCAATTTATTTCTTTTTGCTTTTTATTTTTCTTTTGCTCCTTTTTGTTTGTTTGTTTGTTTTGAGACAAGGTCTCTCTCTGTTGCCCAGGTTGGAGTGCAGGGGCATAATCACTGTTTACTCCAGCCTCAAACTCCTGGGCTCAAATGATCCTCCCACTTCAGCCCCCCACCAAGTAGCACATCACCACATCCAGCTAATTTTTTATTCTTTGTAGAGACAGAGTTTTCGCCATGTGGTCCAAGCTGGTCTCGAACTCCTGGGCTCAAGTAATCTGCCCACTTCAGCCTCCCAAGTGCTGGGATTACAGGCATGAGCCACTTCGCTCAGCCTGTTTCTTTTTTTATAGACCGCATTTTCAATACCTTGCTATCACTTCACTGTCCTGATGGTCTCAGTAAGAATGTTAATCTAGGCCGGGCGCAGTGGCTTACGCCTGTAATCCCAGCACTTTGGGAGGCCGAGGTGGGCAGATCACAAGGTCAAGAGATCGAGACTATCCTGGCTAACATGGTGAAACCCTGTCTCTACTAAAATGCAAAAATTAGCTGGGCATAGTGGTGCTCACCTGTAGTCCCAGCTACTTAGGAGGCTGAGGCAGAAGAATCACTTGAACCCGGGAGACAGAGGCTGCAGTGAGCTGAGATCATGCCACTGCACTCCAGCCTGGCAACAGAGTGACACTCCGTTCCAAAAAAAAAAAAAAAATTAATTTATCCCACTATAGCGGTTAATATCTGACAGCAAACAATATTGAGCACCTATTCGGTGCCAAGCACTCTGACAGAATCTAGAAATGTAGATAAAAATCTCAGTCCTCAAGTTGCTAAACAAAGAACATAACCTTAAAGATAAACAAAGACTTACACTAGCTGTGAGCAAATTTTATGACTACACCCAGAAGTGCCATGATATCAAAGGGTGGGCATCCTGGCTTTGTTGGGAGCCTATGCATATTAGTTTTCTATTATTGCATAACAAATTACCATAAATTTAGCAGCTACAAACAATACACATTTATTATCTCACTGTTTTCATGGGTCAGGAGTGCGGACACAACTGGAATGGATCCTCTGCTTAAGGTGTTTTTTTGTTTGTTTGTTTGTTTGTTTTTTTGAGACAGACTCTTGCTCTGTTGCCCAGGCTGGAGTGCAGTGCGCAATCTCGGCTCACTGCAACCTCCGCCTCCCAGGTTCAAGCAATTCTCTGCCTCAGCCTCCGAAGTAGCTGGGATTACAGGCACCGCCAGCACGCCCGACTAATTTTTTTGTATTTTTAGTAGAGATGGGGTTTCATCATCTTGGCCAGGCTGGTCTTGAACTCCTGACCTCGTGATCCACCCACCTCGGCCTCCCAAAGTGCTGGGATTACAGGCGTGAGCAACTGCACCCGGCCTGCTTAAGATCTTATAACTCTTCAATCAAGGGATTGACCTGGGCTGTGTTCTTCTCAAAGGCTCAAGGAAGGAAGAATCTGCTTTCAACCTCCTTCGTGTTAAAATAATTCATTTGCTTATGGCTTTGGGATTCAAGGCAGTTTGATTCTTCAAATACAGCAATGGAGGACAGAGCAACTCTAAAAGGAAGGTTTTATAGAGTTACTCTCTTTCAGAAAGGCACTGATTTTTTTTATCTGACAAGGTGCACAGGATACAGACTAAAATGTATCAAATATATTTACGCTATTTTAAATGCATGTGTAATGAAATAATAGTAACTTGAAAGAGGTATTGTACTTACCTGTTGTCTATGAGTTCATTTGTACATGAAAAATCTTGTATCATATTATATATGTGGAGTTTGATTTTACACTTAAATTACCACTCATGAAAAATGCTGTTTTACATTAATACTAAATATTTTTTATTCTCCATTAAAGAAATGTTTGATTTAAATTAATTCCTCTGAATATGTGAAAATTGGTAATTATAATGTGAACAGTAGTTTGATCTAAAGCTTTTGAATCCCTTTGTAATATTAATTTATAGCCTTAGAAAAAAATACTAAGCTTAATTCTCAATACCATAGTAAGGAAGAAAATTTCATTCTTTGAATTGGACTATTGGAATATTAATATTTGACTGTGGAGTTTTTTAACATTTTTTACTTCCATGGGTTTTTGGGGAACAGGTGGTATTTTGTTATATGAGTAAGTTCTTTAGCGGTGATTTGTGAGATTTTGGTCCATCTGTCACCTGAGCAGTATATACTGAACCTAATTTGTAGTCTTTTATCCCTGAGCCCCTTCCCACCCTTTCCCTCTGAGTCCCCAAAGTCTATTGTGTCATTCTTATGCCTTTGCATACTCATAGTTTAGCTCCCACTTATGAGTGAGAACATATGATGTTTGGTTTTCCATTTCTGTGACTCTGTAGTTTTTATATCAATTAATCAAAATATAACAGCACTTAATCTATCATTCATATTTATTAAGTCACTACTTTTTTACATATACTTTGTTTTGTAAGAAAAAGTATTAGCAAAGAGCAAAAGTCATGAAATTATACTGCTGTCAAATGTGAAATAATGCCTTCAATGTAATAGATTACACAGTTTGCAATAATTTATATGGGGGAATGCATCAATTAAACTGTGCATTTAATTATATTTCCAAGTATATTGAAAAATGCAATTATGCACAATAGATAATGTCAAGCCACCTAGTTGACAGCTGTTCTTAATTAAATGTGTGAGGCCTGATTTGCCATTAAGAATCACCTGTTGAATGCTGTAATTAAGCCTCCATTTGGCAGCTTTACATGTATAAAACCGAAACATTTGACTAACACTGCCATCAAGAAAAGACTAGTTGTTTCATTTTGGCTGCTCCATTTGAACTTTTAAGTAAAATTGAAATGCTTTATGTAAAAGCTCTTTGAAAATATAAACAGTTCTTTAAAAATATGGCAAGATTCATAGAAATTCTCAGAATAGGGGAAAAGCTACAAAAGCCTTAAAAATACATCCTATCAAATGTCAGAAATCTAAAGAAGTGTCTGCTCTCATGTGAATGGTGGCAGATTGAATGGGGGAGCAGAATCATGACTCAGTCCCCGAGGAAATGCACCTTCTGCAAGGAGAGGTTACTGGACCCCATTCAAAGCACATAAACACTGTAAAGTGCACATCACTGTATTGACACAACCCTGGGCTCTATCTTCACTGTGATACCCAGCATGTGAACATCTGGTATGTATATTCCTGAGTTCCCACATAAGAAATCAGCAGATGTTACTGAGCTGATCTGTATAGGGGAGGCAAGAGCATCAAGTAAAACCTTTTGATCTAGGGCTGGGTTGAGATTGGCTTCTAGTTGCAGCTACTTGTGTAGTATATAATCAGTCCTCCCCTACCAACCCTTAGACTTTTATTGAGACAACTTAGATATCCTCTTCCTCTGGACGATTCATCTTACAGGCCTTTGTTGTCCTTTTCTGTCTGCAAACCTACGTCAGAAGCAATTCAGATGATAGTCCAGGAATTGCTGACTTTAAAAAGCCAGGATGTGATTTAGTATCCCTGAATAACTTATGCAAATTTGTCCAGTCCCACACTAGAGCTCTACATACTAAAAGGAGTTTCAGCCTTGCCATGTCAAACTAAAGTTGGGAGGGCAAGCATGCTCATTCCCAAGTAGAAGACCCTGCAAGGCCTTCTTGTTGATTTATTGTCTACAACAATTTAATGTGAAGCTATGTCATACCAGTTGTGAAATATATTGAAAGTCACTCTAGCCATCTCCCATATAATTGTATGAAAAAATCCAGGGCACTAGACTGATTCTTTGCAATGTTACTTCTTTCATCGTCTCTTAGTCTCTTGAGATTTTTGTCTCTGCTAATGCAGACATCCTGCTAGCAATATATATTATGTATATTTCCAAATATTCAACCATCAATGTATAACCATTTAATCATAATTAATACGTGGTGTTTAAAAATAATATTTTGTTTAATTTTATTGAATATGAAAGTGAAAAATTAAACTTTTATATTTTGCTGAATTTGTAAATGTAATTTTACATTTAGGCAACTAATTTGGGTTTTATGAAAGTTCTTTTTTAACTGAAGAGATTGGGTATTATTATCTTTTTTCCTTCATCATTTTTAATGATAGCCTCATTCCATTTGCCCTGTGACTTTAATTCAATTTGTTATTACTGCTCTTTTTTTTTTCATAGCTAAGCTCCTCCCCATAAACCCCTTCATATCCTGGGTCACATACAGAAGTTGAAAACCCATCTGTTTCATGAACATTTGGAAACATGTATTGACCTCATGATGCCCACTGGCAAACCGGGTGCGAGTTGTATGAAATCGGAAGTCTCCATCAATATGGTAAATGTTCATAAAGTTACACATAATTTGAGCCCCTTACACACTGCAGAGCCTTGTCCAGTTTTACTCACACTTCTTTCTCCTAATACTGTGAAACCTTTATCCTACAATAAACACTGCAATTTTTTCAAGAGATATAATTAGAAGAAAATTGGAAAATGATAACTTTGTATTCTTAAAGGTCTCCTCTGGGTTCCTTATCAATGGCATTACCAGTTAGCCTGTAAAGATTCCACATGCCAAGGGTGCCAGCATTTTAGCACCAAGGGTACCATCTCAAATACCATGTAATAGACGAAGGAAGTAATTACTGTTTTTCTGTAATTTGAAGAGTAATTTCATGTTTTTCCACATCCATGTTAACATTATGGACCATCTCACTTTTTAAAACGAAAGGTAGAATATGGAGAGAGACTATCAGAATGAAGGATGAAAAAAAATCACATGATCATCTCAATAGATGCAGAAAAAGCATGTGCCAAATATAAAAACCCTTTCATGATACAAAAACTATGAATATAAGGAAATTACCTTAACACAATGAAAGCCATATATGAAAAGCTAAAAGCTAACATCATACTTGATGGTAAAAAACTAAAATATTTTATCCTAAGATTACGTACTCTTGCCACTTTTATTCAACACAGTACTGAAGTCCTAGGCAGAATGATTTGTCAAGAAAAAGAAAAATCCCTTTTAGGGATCCAAATAGAAAAGGAAGAAGTAAAATTATCTGTTTGCAGATAACATGATGTTATATGTAAAACACCTTAAAGATACCACAAAAATTAAACTAATGAACAAATTCAATAAGGTTGCAGAACACTAAATCAATACATAAAAATCAGTGCATTTCCTCAGACTATCAGTGAACAAGGGGACAACACGGTTGAACCTGGAGGATATTATTGTTACTGAAAATAAGCCAGTCACAGAAAGACAAATATTGTATTACTCCATCTATATGAGGTATGTAAACTAGTCAAATTCCTAGAAGCAGAAAGTACAATCAGGGGCTCAAGGAGGGGGAAATGGGAAGCTGCTATTCAATGGGTATAAAGTTTTAATTATGCAATTTGAGAAAGCTCCAGAGATCTGCTATATAACACTGTGTCTATAGTTAACAATATTGTACTGTCTAATTTAAAATGTGTTAAGAGAGTAGATCTCACTTTATGTATTTTTACTGCAATAAGAATACATAAACTTTGTCACCTTTAAAGTGAATTCTCAATAACATAATTACAGTTTTATTCTATTCAGTCCTCCAACACAGTTTAATTTCTGCATTCAAGGGAATCACATTCCAGAGGAGGAAGCAAGATTGCATAGGGCTGGCCCAGCTCACACAGAGACGGTAAATTTGAAGTAGGTGCTCCCTTCATGTGCATAAGAAAACCTTACTGAGCATATGTCACAACGGTAAAAATTATAATAATGTATTCCTTCCTTCAGTGGATGCAATCTTATGCTGGAACAACCTTGCCCTCAATTATATGACACTTTGCAAAGCGTAGTCTTTGCTAATGTACACAGTGTCCTGAAATCTGTCCACTAATTTCTGTAACACAGATAGACCATGACAATTTCTAGAATAGAGGGAAAAATGCATTTCTATATGATTGCAGAGAGAGAGAGATAACTGATTAATAGAGGAAGTTAGTCAAGAAGGATGAGTAGAAATTTGCCAATAAAACAAAGAGGTTAGGGAAGGGAGAGGTATGCTGGGGAAATGATTTTAAGTACATAAGGAAAACAGCCAAGCACAAAAATTCACAGACTTTTGAATGGCTGAATCTGAGAATGGTTTGTGGAAAGTGACAGAGGGATGGATGTATGAGTCAGACTGATTTTGGAGAGGAATACGTTTCAAGTTGTATAACATAGTTTTATTATTACTAATACTATTAAACACGGAAACACAATGGAAGGTATTGATCGTAGACATTCTCTGATACCATCTTCGTTTTAGAAAGTAATTCTGAAGCCAAAGTAGACAGTAGTTTAGGGGTCGGAGACAGAAATTGGAGGCAGAAAGACAGACCAGTAAGGTCGCACATTCTATTACATAATGTCACACAACACCACTCTATTCTATCTGTGATTTTCTTTCTGTAATTCTGGTAAGGAATGACAAGGACCACTGTTTAATTTTTAACAGTAGAAACAGCAAGAAAGATGTGAGTCAATGGCAAAAAATGAGGTGATGATTTTGGATATGGAGGAAAGAAGATAAAGAAGAAGGAAGGTGGAAGAGAAAATTGTAAAGATGAAACTGTTTGTAAAGATCAATATTATTAATAATGACAGTTTAGGTCATATTTACACTTGAAGGGAAGCAAATTTTCATTTACTCGCAGAGTAAATTGGCAGCAGTTTTTTAAATAAAAGCTTTCTCTTGAGAAATATGATAATGGGTATATACCCAATAATGGGATTGCCAGTCCAATGGTAGTTCTGTTTTAAATTCTTTGAGAAATCTCCAAACTACTGAAAAGACACATGCACTCATATGTTAATTGCACCACTATTCACAATAGCAAATATATAGAATCAACTTAGATGCTCATCAAAGGCAGATTGTATAAAGAAAATGTGGTACATATACATCACAGAATACTATGTAGTCATAAAAAAGAGTGAAATCATGTCTTTTGCAGCAACATGGTTGCAGCTGGAGTGAACTAACGCAGAAACAGAAAAATAAATACCCACATGTTCTCACTTACAAGTGGAAGCTAAACATTGAGTACACATGGACATAAAGACAGGAACAATAGACACTGGTGACTACTAGAGGCAGGAGGAGGGTAAGGGTTGAAAAACTCTCATATAATATGCTCAATACTTGTTTTTTTTTTTTTTTTTTGAGACGGAGTCTCACTCTGTCACGCAGGCTGGAGTGCAGTGGCGCGATCTTGGCTCACTGCAAGCTCCGTCTCCCGGATTCACGCCATTCTACTGCCTCAGCCTCCCGAGTAGCTGGGACTACAGGCGCCCGCCAGCACGCCCGGCCAATTTTTTTGTATTTTTAGTAGAGACGGGGTTTCACCGTGTTAGCCAGGATGGTCTCGATCTCCTGACCTCGTGATCCGCCCGTCTCGGCCTCCCAAAGTGCTGGGATTACAGGCGTGAGCCATCGTGCCCGGCCAAAATGCTCAATACTTGTGTGATGAGATCATTCATACACAAAACCTCAATTAAATGCAATTTACCCACGTAACAAACCAGCATATGTACCCCCAAGCCTAAAATAAAAGTTGAAAAAAAAAAGGGTAATGAAGGGGTGAAGATAATGTTAATTTCACTGTCAGAATAACTTCTCAAGTTTAGGCATAGCTTCTGAGACAGAGTAGGGATGGAAGTCATCCCTCCCCCTCCCCCGACTAATGCATTTTGTTTCTTTTTCTTTCTTACCCACTAACCACAAGACCTTGAAGAAACTATGAATCTTACTCAAGTCGCCATACCCACTGATCACGGGACCTTAAACTAAGATAAGCAGCATTCAACTTATAATAAATCTTACTCAAGGAAGTTAATTTTATTGCATGTATGCGCACAAGACTTAGAAGAATGACGGATCTTTGCTCCTTGCTTCATTTTAACACTAAACTTCCCATCCAGGGAGGGGCTTATCTGCCATTTTCTGATCATGTGATGTATGTGTTAGCATGATTTCTTATTACACCTGTGCACCCTGCACTCCACCTCACACATGTAGTGACTCTCACCTACATCATGATTTATACATGTCATTCTCAAGGCACCACAATGCACTCCTGTCAGGAAGCCAGCAGAAGAACCTTCCCTCTAGTGCTGTTTCTCTTGTGTTTAAACATAAACCTCTAGTAAAGTCTTGCATGGGAAACAATAGCAAATACATGACTTGGCCTCATGTCAATTTCTATTGCATGGGACCCTAAGAACCTGTGGAAAGTAACACTTCCTGATACATAACAAGAAGATGTCACACAGCATACCATATATGTTTATTAAGTAATCCATTTATATTTCATGCCATAGTATATATTGCTCTCCCAAATTGTATCTGGAATAATCTCTCAAGCTTATGCTTGAGACTGTGTTAAGAATGTGTTAAAGATGGCTGAACTTTTCAGCGTAGGCATAAAAATCTTTTTACGAGCCTTCTTCTCACCCTCACTGAATCTTTCAGCTCATCTCTCTGACTTAATTATTACAAATGATCCATGCAAAACCATAACTAAAAAGAAAAGTGATTATTCTTATTGATCAGGTTCACATTATAATTATGGTAAAGTCAAATAATAATCTACAATGATTAATGATCTCTCTAGTCCATGAAATTTAACATTTTGTAATTTTACTTTAGCTCAAATATGCCCGTTTAGCCATCAAAATCATTGATAATGGTTTTTCTCTGTGTCCCCATGCAAATCTCATCTTGAATTGTGCTACTATAATTTCCACGTGTTGTGGGAGGGACCCAGTGGGAGTTAATTTGAATCATGGGGGTGGTTTCTCCCATCGTGTTCTCGTGGCAGCGGGTAAGTCTCACGAGATCTGACGGTTTTATCAGGGGTTTCCACTCTTGCATCTCCCTCATTTTCTCTTGCTGCCACCACGTAAGAAGTGCCTTTCACCTTCCGCCTTGATTCTGAGGCCTCCCAGCCATGTGAAAGTGTAAGTACAATTAAACCTCTTTTTCTTCCCAGTCTCAGGTATGTCTTTATCAGCAGCATGAAAATGAACTAATACAATCATATAATATTGTCCAGTCAATTCAAACAAATAAATTACAAAACCTGGCAAGATGTAGGCTCAAGATAGGAAAATAAATAGAAATTGTGAATATGAAGATTATCTGTATAGGTCAATGCCATGTTTTATGATTCAAGATATATGTATCTAGAAGGCATTCCTGACTTGTTCCAGGTTACCCAACAAATTACTGGCTGAGTTGGGATTTGTTTTTTTCTCCCAATATTATGTTTATTTCTCTTTTTTTCTGAGTCATTAACAGCAAATCTTCTTCTAGTGTTAAATGCAACTCTCCAATTGGGGATTGCATTTGACTAGACATACAATGAATAAAATGTTTTCTTGGAGGGTTTCTTAGAATTTACAACATCTTTGTCATTTTTCTAAAAAATATAATTCCATTTAAGCATTCTTACTGGAAAATGTAAAACCAGAAGCAGAAAGAAACTCATTGAATTGATTATTAGAATACCTCACAATGGTAAGTGTCAGTCATGGGTCAGAGAATTTTATTTACCTGGTCACAATCTTTAGATTTGGTATGGAAAGGGGCTTCACTACTTCATAGTGGTCATTTCCTGAATTACCATTCCTTACTAGATCAGATTTTATTCCAAGAAAAAATGATCTCCTAATTTTTTTACATAAGCAAAATAGGCATAATTTTCAAATATATTAAGTATATATGTACACATACACTGAAAATGAAAGTTGAATATATTTTTAAAAAATGAGGCTGGGCACAGTGGATCATACCTGTAATCACAGCACTTTGGGAGGCTGAGATGAGAAGACCATTTGAGCCCTGGAGTTCAAGACCAGCTTGGGCAACATAGTGAAGCCTCATCTCTACAGAAAGTATGAAATTAGGTGGGTATTGTGGCAAGTGCCTGTAGTCCCAGTTACTAGGGAGATTGAGGTGGAAAGATCACCTGAGCACAGAAGGTCAAGGTTGTAGTGAGCAATAATCACACCACTGCACTCCAGCTTGGGCAGTTGCCGAGTCTGTCCCACAGACTGGCTGAGCGACAGATGAAAGAAGTACACTGACACAGGTATCTTGCCTGACAGCATGGCTACGGGACCTCACGGCTCAGCACCGCCGCCGAGAGTGCTGCAGCCACCGAGAGAGTGCAGCCCCCATAAGCCAGCCCTGCTCACATTTACTTAGTACAGATTTAATGACAAAGGCTTGGAGCAAACACAATTTGTGGGTAATAAACATTGTTGACCCCTGAGTAGAGAGCAGTCCTGCATGCGAATGATCAAAAGTTGGTTTCTGGAGACAGGACTAAATAAATTTATCTAGATAAGCTCCTTTACATTCCCTTGTTATATACCCTTTGCTCTCAGGCTCCAGATAAGAGAATTTGGGGGCCTTCAGCCAAATCCTCTTTCAAAGCTTTTGCAAAACCTCTCAGCCTTCCAAGAAGGTTTGCATCTTTCCCTATAACTTTTACCCACTACCCTGACCAACCTCCTACAGGCAACAAAGTAAAAGCCTGTCTCTTAAAAAAAAAAAAAAGAAAGAAAGAAAAAAGAAAAGAAGTGATAATTGTGGAAAAGTTTAAATTTTCCTCTGAAGGTTCAACAATTCAGTCTGCTGAAATAAACTGACAGAGACAGATTAACAGAAGAAAAGGCATATAAATGTATTAACATGCAAGTGCAGAGAAGTCATACAAAATATGAAAAACAAAGAAGGGCCATATGGTTGAAATTTAAATACCTTCATCATAGGGAAGAGGAAAGTTTGGAGATGTAGACAGTTTTAGAGAAAGAATAAATGATTTTTGGGAGAGATAAATGGGCTGGAAAAAGAAGCAATAGCCTAAGACAAAGTTCCTCTGGGTTCTGGATGTGGTGTCCACTCTAAATATTCTTTCATGTGAGTTAATCATCTCTGTGTGATGAGATTATTGGGAGGGGGCCCAAAACAATTGCAGCGTGTATTCGTCTGTTTTCATACTGCTCTGAAGAACTGCCCAAGACAGGGTAATTTATAAAGGAAAAAGGTTTAACTGACTCACAGTTCCACATGGCTGTGGAGGCCTCATGAAATTTACAATCATGGTGGAAGTTGAAGGGAAAGCAAGGCACCTTCTTCACAAGCTGGCAGGAAAAAGAAGTGCCCAGCAAAGGGGGAAGAGCCCCTTATAAACCCATAAGATTTTGTGAGAACTCATCACTATCGCAAGAACAGCATGGGGGAAACTGCCCCCATGATTTAATTACCTCCACCTGGTCTCTCCCTTGACATGTGGGCATTATAGGGATTATGCGGATTACAATTCAAGATGAGATTTGGGTGGTGACACAAAGCCTAACCATATCACAATCCTTCTGGAGGAATTTACCTGAGTTCGATAAAGAAACTTCAGAGAAAGGCCCTGCCTGTGCTTCCGGAGAGGAAGAGAGGTAAGAGATGGGAGGGAAGGAGATCAGAAAGACTGGTTCTAAGGCTGCTTCTTCAGTTCAAAGTACTCGGCCTGTTGCTTTTCTGAGTCCAAAAGAATATGCTATCTGTGTGAAAATATGAAATGAAATGGAATTGAATGGTTAGTTCCTGATATTTTAACAAAAATGCACCAATCAATGGCTGGGAGGTTGTTTATAATTTACATTAGAGCACAATATTCTACCAAATAGCAGTTTACTACTTTAAACTGACTCCCATGTGGTTGTATTCATTTGCATTGAGTTGGCAAGCTCTATTTCAGGTTTCATTCAGGCACCACACAGAAGACGAAAATAATAATCTTATACTCACCACACCCAAATCCTTATAAATACTACATTTGGAGGAAGCAACTCAATTTTAAACAAATATATGGATGCCAAGAAATTTAAATGAAACAAAAAAATTGTATCTTGTTTTGTTCGGTCTCTGGTTTGTTAAACTATTTGCCCTCTAATTATCTTGGAAAATAATTCATCTTTTTATTGGTTTCTACAATGTATTTCTAGTAAAACAACAAAAACAAATTAAAATTGCTTGCTTCAAAATTTTTTCAGAGTACATAGCTGTTTAGAAACAAGTACTATATGACAATCTTATGCACTATACTATTTATTTCTAGGAGTATATGGCTTTTAATTAAAACCAATTTAAAATGTTCAAACTTTTTCATGTTTAATTTTTCCGCATGAACAGAAGATAACAGAGGATCTTAATAATATTCTAGGGAAGTTTATCCTAGAAAAAACACCAAATGAATTGTATAATAAACAGATTTTAATTTTTTGAAAGTGGTGATAAAACTAGAAACAAATTGACCTCATAATAGGAAATAACTGTTTCATTATTAAATTTTTAATTTCTGTCATTTCAGTTATTATATAAGGTATTTCTAATATTTTAAAATATACATTAATTAGCATATTTACTTATCTACCATGTAAACATATATCGGGTGCTCAAAGGTATCTGTGGAGTAATTTCTCAATCATGCATTTAATATTGTTTTAATATTGTGAGACTTGTCAAACTAGCTACAATTCCAAATTCAAAGCTGGATTTATCCCCTTTGGTTTTCCGATAGTTATTTGTATTCCTATCAAAATCCAATTCAGTTGTGAGATTCTCCATTATGTCCTGCATTAGCTAGATTAAAAAAAAAGAAAAGATTCTACACTATGTAACTAAACCCCAAATTTTTAGCCCTCAGTTTTATTGGTCTTCTCAAGTCTGGGTTCCATCCTAGACCTTGTACACCAAAAAATTACTGAGGTAGGTCTCAATTAGAGGTTTATTTAGCCAAGGTTGAGGATGCACCCAGGAAAAAGAAACAGAAGTCACGGAAGGGTCTGTGACCTGTGGTTTTACTTAAGAGCATTTTTCGAACTTCAATATTTAAAGGGGAAAGAGCAAGCAGAAGGGGAGGAAAAAAGAGGTAGGAGGATAGGCCATGAGGCAAGTGTTTACATTTAAGCCATGAGGCTCTGATTAGCGCTCAGTGAATCTACATTTTACATGTGAAAAGAGGGAGTAGAGAAAAAGTCAATTATTCATTTGTCTGGGGGTAGAGAGAGGGATATTTCTGGCCTTATCCTTGTCCCATACCTGTGAAGATTAGCTTGTAATTAATATTGTCAGGATGAGATTGAACAGAACTCAGTTTTCCTGAAAGATTTAGGGGCCAACAAGTAATTTCCTCTTGAATTTTGTGAGGGAAGCCTTCTGGGGAGATAAGTGGCCTTCTATTATTGAGGGGAACTGGCTTAGGTTTGAGCCTATGACACAGGCTTGTGAAATTACAGCTATCTGGGAACAAAAGGAAGGCAGTTTGTTGTGTGATTCACTTCTCAAGCTTAACTTTCCCTTAGGCATAGTGAGTTTGAAGTCCCCAGATTCTATTTCCTTTCATAAACTCTTGAGTAAAAATCTGCATTTTCACAAGATCTCCAGGTGATTTGTATGCACATGAAACTTTGGGATCACAATCAACTGCTCTCAAAGAGTGTTCCCTCTCCATTTAAATGCATCTTTTAAGTGCCTGGTAAATGCTAGGCAAAGGATTAAGTTCCTAATGTATGTTATCTCATGTAGTCCTCACTGCATCATTTCTAATCTCCATTATTAAGATATAGATTAG
This sequence comes from Homo sapiens, assembly GCF_000001405.40. NCBI lineage: Eukaryota > Metazoa > Chordata > Mammalia > Primates > Hominidae > Homo > Homo sapiens. The sequence goes on along the minus strand of NC_000023.11, from coordinate 35,665,188 downwards.
ACCTTTAATAAATTCAGTATTACCTGATAAGATTGTGACCAGGTGTTCACAATTGCCCATTACTTATCCTCTGCCTTCACTTGACCAACCTTTAGTCAAATTTCTCTCCTTTACACAGGCTTCTGAACTCTGGCTTGCCTCCAAATCTGAGCAAATGTTAACACTGCAGAACACTGCCTGTTAAAAGCTCATCCTGAGAATTGGCTCGCCACAGTGAGAAACCGACAGCCCTGATCCTGCTGTCTGCTTGCTTCTACTCATTCACTCAATTTCCCTTCTTAAATTCCTGCTATCTCTGCTTACTCCTTCCTATAAAAGAAAAGCATTTTTCAGTCTGATATTTAGATGCATGCAGATTTTAACATCAGAACATTCTCCTTATTTTAATACTTTTCTTGAATAAGTTTTCTGTTTACCTAAGTCTACATTTGTTTTTGCTTGACAGTTAGCATCCCTGACTTGGTGGGTAGTTTTCCTTACTTTGGAGTGATTTTAATACTCTTTTAAAATACTTTTTTTGTCCCAATTTTTATGTTTTTACTCACTGCTTGTCAAAATAAAAGGATGATTCTTTTGTTTTAGAGACAGTAAACTATGAATAAAACCATGTGATGATTGGGATTCATATCAAAATAATGCTGATATTTGATTATTTTAGCCCTGTACCTTTGAAGGTAGGTGAAGGGCATAGAGAGAAAGATACTTTTCTTGAATAAATGTTCTCTTTACCTAAGTCCACATTTGTCTTTGCTTGACAGTTGTTAGCATCCCTGACTTGGTGGCATAGTTTTCTTTACTTTTGAGTGACTTAAACAACAAAAATTTATTTTCTCACAATTCTGGAGGCTAGAAATTCAAACCCACTCAAAGTGTTGGCAGATTTGATTTTTTCTCAGGCCCCTTTCCTTGGCTTGAAGATGGCTACCTTCAGGCTGTGTCCTGACAGTCTTCCCTTTGTGTGCTCTAATCTCCTTTTTTTTTGTTTTTTTTTATAAGGACACCATTTATATTGGTTTAGGGCTCACTCATATGACCTCATTTTACCTTAGTTACCTCCTTAAAGGCGCTATTGCCAAATACAGTCATATTTTGAAGCAGTGGAGGTTAGAAGTTCAACATATATATTTTGGGGGGGACATAATTCAGTCTATAACAAGGATTATCAAGGATTAAGAAATATTTCCCATGATTATATAGATTTTTAAACCTTTTCATTAGGAAGATATAAAGTATATACACTCACAGAGATAAAATTATAGTATCATTCTCTCTATGCCCTTCACCTACCTTCAATGGTACAGGGCTAAAATAATCAAATATCAGGATTATTTTGATATGAATCCCAATCATCACATGGTTTTATTCATTGTTTACTGTCTCTAAAAAGAATCATCCTTTTATTTTGACAAGGCCATGATACCATCAAAATTAAAGATATTCTATAATTATTCCTTAGTATCATCAAATATTCAGGTGGTATTCATATTTCTCTGATTTTCTGTTAGTGTGTGTGTGTGTGTGTGTGTGTGTGTGTGTGTGTGTGTTTGCTGTGTCTAAGCATCTTTGTTTGGATAAGGATCTAAATAAGATTGATAGGTTTTGTCTATTTGACATGTCTTTTAAGTCTTTCTCTTTTTCCCTTTCTCTCTCAAATTTCATTTAATCCCTAGGTTTCTCCAGATGAAGAAATTGTTAATGTCATTTTACACAGAAAGAAACTGGATCTCGGAGATTTAGTAAACTTGCTTAAGGCTAAGTAGGACATAATTGGCAGTGCCAGAATTGAAACCAAGTGTGTCCACTTCTATTGATTCTTCCTAATATCTTGTGACTACCCTGCATTGTCCCAATTTTTTTTTTACTCACTGCTTAGCCTTATGACTTCTTGCCTTCTTATTTATCTTAAAAGATATTCAGACACTCACATATCCTTTTTTAGAAACCCACATTTTAAAATATAGACTACAGATTATAAACACCCCTCTCCTCTCCAACACCCAAGTGATGTTTGTTTTAAGCTAGCAGTCTCACAGCGATATTTGTAGCTGTAAACGTCAGCTGTTCTCAGCACTATCTTGGGAATCTACTGAATCCACTCCCATGCCTAGTTGCATACAGTTTTCCCCATGTTATGATAGGGATACATTCAAACTTTACCTTTACCCATTCATAGCCTTTGTTGCTAAGAAATGCACAATGCATAGATGTCCTTGTATTAAGTCATTCGTGGCAAACATTTAGTTTTGCCTTAATACTAAAGTATAGATTTATTTTACAATTATTCATTGCATATTATGAACTCAAAACGTTTGATCTCATTGTGTGATTTTACTTTAGAATGAAGAATTAATATACATTATGCAATAAGCAACCCTAAAAACCTCATTTTTGAACAGAGGACAATACCACAGCACGATAAATTTCGTAACAACAAAAATGTATTCTACAAAATGAAATCCACATATTAAAGCTGAATTTTAGTGTGGCACTGATGTTCAATGTTTCCTATATTTCTCTATTTGGACAAAATTGAATACAGGAAAATATACTGAAAATATACTCATGAATGTTGCTTAAAGGTAACTTGTTTAATTGCAATTATGTCCAAAAAAATGGTACATGTATCTCCCAATAGGTATAACAGTTTGCTTGACAAAAGTAGATAAAGTAATAATTTTTAAATTAACTGGTAATTAATCTTGACCTTATGAAAAAACAAAATAACTTATTTCAAATATAGTTGAACCTAATGTCTGAAACCTAATAAGGTAGAAATATTAGTAATGCAATTGTTCTCATTTTAACTTTGGATCATATTTATAATGTAATGAGAGAGCAAACAAGAAGAAAACTTCATAAAAACTGGCAGCAGGAAGTTTCCTTTTGCTTCTCAGAGAGTAAACTATAGCATAAATAAGCAAAGATTCAAACCCTAGCACCAATGCTCATCAGCCTCCTCACATAGGATGAGTTATTTAATTACTTTAGACCTCAATTTCTTTATTTTGAGACAGGTATTGTTCAATGAAGGCTGTGTGATGATATGTTTAACACCTTTAAGCCAGTTTCCGGCATATGATAAATTATTATTAAATTTGTTATCGTTGTTGCTGTTATTATTAATTCATCCGAGTAAAAAGAAATGGCCTAAGCATACGAGAAATAATACTATGCTGTACTTGATTTAATGTAAAGATTTTAAAGCACTAACTTTGGAGAGTTAAATGATTTGAAATAATATACTTACTGTCTCTTAGTCTTAGTTTTACAGAGTGGTTTTCCCCCAAGTATCAATGGTTGAGCTGACTCAGAATATTCCAATAATAGCTGCAAATTTTTATCTTAAAGTTTAATAAAGAAATATAACAAATGTTTTTCAGGAATGCTCATGCTCCAGTACCTAAATGGAAATTGCCAGTGGAAATATTGACTAAGTTTCTTCCTTCCAGCCATTATCTTTACAGCTGCTTTTAAGTAGATAGCTGCTTATATGGCGTTACGTCAGTGTTGCTGAAGTGTCTTTCTAGAAGCCTATCTCCATCTGGCTTCAATAGATCTTAAAATGCCTGTCTTTTATGTGGATTAATGCATTGCTGGCATTCAGAAAGGTTAGTGGGTTAACTACTTTGAGTAATGAAATAAATAATTGAATATATAATCTAGAAAAAGCCTTAGGAATTGAGACCAAAGTCTGGTAACCTTTAATAGAGTCAAAAAAGCTCAGAGCATGAGATATTATCCATGAGCATAGGTAGAGTCAGCATGAAGATAGCAAAGGTGTAAGTAGAGGTAGCTAAAGGAGGAGGTAAGGCTCCTAACAAAGAAGATTATAGAATTTTTTAAATTCGAATATACTTGATAACATTTTTACTAATTTACTTATTTTAATTGTCAAATACAAATGTTATATATTTATCATGTACAACATGTTTTGAAGAATGTATTCATTGTGGAATGGCTAAATCAAGCTAATTAATATATATATAACTTTACATATATAATTATCATTTTTTGTGGTAAGAACACTTAAAATCTACACTTCTAGCAATTTTTCAGAATACAAGGAGACAGCAGAATTTAAACAAACTGTTAACAGTTTTTGGAAATCCAGTCTTACATTTTGAAAATTGTTTAAAATTGTGTAATTATATGAGAATCTATATCATGTGTTAGTTTTATGACTATCATGTGTGAAAGTTATTTTTCCTCATTAATTGAATGCAGTAGTAAACTTAGGAAATCTGTTCAATTTACTGAATGCTTCCTCTGTACTAGGAAACCTGAACTATTCTTATAAGTTACCTGATATAGGAAATTGGAGTATTGAGCCATGTATAGGACAGTATCCCAAGCAAATTAAAGTCTAACTGAAAAAAATTAAGTCAAAATGTAACACGTACATTAAAATATCCAGAAACATAATGTTCAGTATAGAAATTGTTATTACAGATGTAAGACCCTGGTATATGCATATAAGTATAGTAAAATACCATTCTTCAGTAAAATTATAAAGTAAGTCTGAGGTGCCATTTGTATATCTGAATATTGCACAATTGTTCATGTATCTGGCTCAATTGGGGATTATGGAAACTTAAATTTACATAATCATTTCCTTTAATTTAACACATTGAGTACTCCTACATTATTTTGAATTATTTCTATCTACTGAATATACTGAAACTATTTATATCTGTGAACTTGTTTTTCAACATCTTAATTGGCACTAAATTTTTCTACTTATTTTTCACTCTTTGTTCCTATGACTTTTTATGCATGTTGAAGGATGGTTTTGGTCTTTATGTTGTGGTTCATAGTATGCACATCATTTTACTGCTGACCTTTCCCTCCATTTTTCTGCTGATGGTGTTGCTGGGATGGAAAAAGGTACAAAATACACAGGAATATGCATTAAAAGACTGGGTTCCACTTTTAGCTCTACTTGACTAAAAGAAGCATTTTTTTAAATTACTAAGAAAGTAATAATTTGTTTTCATATTCCATATATTAAGCTTGTGTAGTATCCATATTACCACATTACTACAAGTCCATATTACCACATTACTACAGCCAAACACAAACTTAAAAAACACTTAAAGTAATAGCTAACATTGTAAAGTATTAGAGTGATGTCACCAAGATGGCAGAGTAGACATTAATCCACTCATATCTTCTCACAACAATAAGAATTCTATGCCCATCCACAGTCAAAATTCTCTCTGTGGGAGCATCAATTTTCAGGTATGAGTTTGTGAAACCTTCATGGGGTCCAAAATCTTGGAGGGCTGTGTTGAGAGTATAGACCAATATACAGGTGTCTGATCCACTGACTTTGCTCCAGGATTCAAGCCCAGAAAAGTACCAATCCTTCAAGAAGCTTGGCTACATCACCTGTTTGGTCTCGAGCCTGCAACTAAAACCATTTTCTAAATGTTCAGATGGAATTGTGCACACTCATGCCTTGTGTGTGGAAAGGCTTATCTGTCTGTTGACATTGGTCTCAGCAGCGAACCTGAAAGTTGACCCATAGCTCAGCTTCAGTCCCGCTCAGCTGAAGTACCCAGTCAGACTTGACTGGTTCACACAAGGACACAAAGGGAGACTTTCCCATATCTCGCAGCTCTGGAGTCTGAGCTTCCTTGATAATCTTGCCAACTTCTGTCCCACAGCAGATCCCTTGGGGACACAATCTTGGCCCCAGCTTCTCCTGCTTTAATTGGGGACCTATCCCATTTGTGCAGGGTCCACTTGGGAGATGCATGCCCCTCTGAGACAACAAGACTTGGCTTTCCATTCCCCATTCCACATCAGATCCTGAGGGGTCCCAGTCTCGGCTCTGGCCCCCTCACTGCAATTGGGGAACTATCTTGTCTGTCCTGAGACCTGCTGGGAGATGTGTTCTTGCCTAGATCAGCAAGATGGGCTCTTCTAACCTCCAACCCACAGCAGATCCTGAGAGACACTAGCTCTAGCCCTTCCTGCTGCAATCAGCAAACTATCCCTTCTGCTCAAGGACACGTTGGGAGATGCATGCCCCTCTTAACCAATGAGATAGGGCTCTCCAGATTCTGCCCTACAGAAGATCCCAAGGGAGGGTAGTCTTAGGATTGGCCTCTCTTGCTGCAGTCAAAGAACTATCTCATTTGTTCGGGGACCTGCTGGGAGACATGCACCCATCTTAGCCAAAGTGATAGGCACACCAACCTCTTTCCTACAGTAGATTCTGAAGAGCACAAGTCTCAGCTCTGGCTCAACCTGCTGCAGTTGAAGAACTACCCCACTTGTGCAAAGACCTGATGGGTGATGCAAGCTCATCTGAGCCAATGAGAAAGGTCCACAAGCCTCCTTCTCACAGCAGATCCTGAGAGGTCCCAGTCTCAACTAAAGCCTCTCTTGCTGAAGTTGGGGACCAATTCTACCTGTGCAGAGACCTTTTGGGAGGCACCCTTGTCTGGGCCACTGTGTTTCTTTTGAACTCATATCCCTGGCCAGCATTCCCACACAGCCCCAGTGCCCTTCTTAGACCTTCCCCAGGTCCATCTGGGTTGAAAATCTTTGTCAACCATGGAGTTCTTGTGAGAATTGTGATTAGCCTGGGCTCAGAGTATCCTCTAATGCTGAGATGGCTATAGCAGTCACAGGCTCAAGGAACTCATCAATCTGCTTTGAGTCCCTGGAAGACCCTCTGAAGAAAAATAGGCACAAACAAAGCCAGACTGTGATGACTAAACACCTAATCCTTTAATGCGTAGACTTCATTGCATGGCCACAAGCATCAAGAACATACAAGGAAATATGACCACCAAACAAAATAAGGTGGCAGAGAGCAACTCTAAAGTGATGGAGATATGCAATATCTCAGATAAAAAAAAATTCAAAATAGCTGTTTTAAGGAAGCTCAATGAACTTCAAGAAAGCATTCTTAATAAATTCAGAAATTTATCATAGAATTAAATAATTCAATTATTAATTGTGGAGAGATTCAAGTAATTTAAAAAAACAAATCATGGAGCTGAAAAGTACAGTGACTGTAATAAAAATGCAATAGACAGCATCAATAGTAGAATTGATCAAACAGAAGAAAAAATCACTGTACTCAAAGATCGAATATTTGAAAATACATAGAGAAGAATAAAGAAAGAAAAATTAAAAGAAAGAAACAGAGCTTATGGGATCTATTGTACAACAAAAGAGCAAATATTTGGGTAACTGGAGTTAAAGGGGGAACTGAGAAAGACAAAGGAGAATAGAAAGCTTATTCAAAGAAATAACCGAAAACTTTTTAAACCTCGAGAAAGATATAAGTATCCAGGTATAGGGAAGTCAAAGGTCACCAATTAGATTCAACCCAAATAAGAATACCCCAAGGCATGGTATAGTGATACTCTCAAAAATATGACTCAAAGACAAAAAAAGGATCCTGAAAGCAATGAAAGGAAGAAACAAATAACACATGGGAAATCCAATACATCTGGCAGTAGACTTCTCAGTAGAAATCTTACAGACTGAAAAGGAGTGAGATGATATATTCAGGATGCTGAAGAAAAAGTAAAAGCAATCTGTCACTGTAGCAAATCCTTCAGAAATGAAGAGAGATAAAGACTTTCCAGACCCTCCCTCCGACAAAAAATTCTGAAGGAATGTATGAGTCCTATACAAATATTAAAATGAGTCCTTTAAACTGAAATAGGATGGTAACATAATTGTTATAACGATATTTTATGCAGCATAAATTATATATTTGCTTAGAAGACTAACAGACAAAGCTATTAGAAACAATAAATAAAACAACTTATTAAGATATATGCAACTTTTAAAAAGATAATACATCATGATCAATTGGGTTTTATACCAGAGGTGCAGGGATGGTTTAACATATGCAAGTCAGTAAATGTGGTACACCACATAAACAAAATTAAAAACATATGATCATCTCGATAGATGCAGCAAAAGCATTTTATAAAATCCAGCAACACTTTATGACAAAAACCCTCAACAAATTGGCATAGAAGAGATACATCTCCAATTAATAAAAGCCATCTATGATGAACTCACAGCCAGCATCATACTGAATGGGGAAATGTTAGCATTCCCCCTGAGAACTGGGACAAAACAAGAATGCCCACTTTCACCGCTTCTATTCAACATAGTTCTGGAAGTCCTAGCCAGAGCAATCAGACAAGAGAAAGTAATAAAGGGCATTCAAATTGGTAAAGAGGAAGTCAAACTGTTGCTGTTTGCCAATGATATGATCATAGAACTAGAAAACCCTAAAGACTTATCCGAAAAACTCCTAGACTTGATAAATGAAATTCAGTAAAGTATCAGAACACAATCAATGTACATCAACAACGACCAAAATGAGACTCAAATCAAGAACTCGGTCTCTTGTACAACAGCTGCAAAAAATAATAAAATGCTCAGGCATATCCTTAGCCAAGGAGGTGAAAGATCTCTACAAGGAAAACTACAACATATTGTTGAAGGAAATTATAGATGACACAAACAAATGGAAACACATCCCATGCTCATAGATGGGTAGAATCAATATTGCAAAAATGACCATACTGCCCAGAGCAATCTGAAGATTCAAGGCAATTCTCATCAAAATATCATCATTCTTCACAGAACTAGAAAGAATGATCCAAAAATTTATATGGTATCAAAAAAAGGTCCCATAGAGCTAAAGCAGTACTAAGCACAAAGAACAAATCTAGAGGCATCACATTACCTGACTTCAAATTATACTACAAGGCTGTAGCTACCAAAACAGCATGGTACTGAAATGCAAAAAGGCATGTAGACCAATGAAACAGAATAGAGAACCTGGAAATAAAGCCAACTGATCTTTGACAAGGAATATATGATGAGTAAGGTTGAACACAGTAAATATGGCATGATGAATGTGATGAGCTGGAAGATATTAGAGAATTGAGGAACTGAATAGGTTCTCAATGAGAACTGAATGGGAGAACCAAATATTCTTTGACAGAAAGGTCCATACCTAGCATGAAAGGTGTAGAGAACCTTAGTAAAGAAGGAAGTGCATAGTAAACTGAATCCAGATGTTAATAGCAAGCAGAAAGAAAACCTTAGAAAGGCATAAACTTGTCATAAAGTTGAAGCTCTACTTAACTCCATTGTTCATTGCCACTATAACAGAACCTACAGTGATTGAAGTAGCCCACCAGCTCACTCCTCAGCTTCTATTGTGCTTGACTTTAAATGTCATAATAGTTACAAAATCTTCTGAAATCTTCAAGTTATTTTCAATATTTTTGCTTTACAAAGTTGGTAGATTTTAGCTCTAGCAAGCTTATTCCATAAGAGGCACAATGAAGTGTAGAACATTGTTAAATTAGGAATGCTTATGACAACCTTAAAAAAAGCTCCTGGACCAGGAGTCATTGAAATAAACAGAAGAATAAAATAATTAGATTTCATAAGCTTTTCTTCTGTGTAAACTTTTTTGGATTGTTTTTCTCAACATTTGTTAGACCGTGCATTTCAAGACATATTTACAATAAGATAAGTGCTTTTAAACCATTTTTGTATGGCAGATTTTAAAATAAATTTTGGGAAGTAAGGGCAAGTCAGGGTGCATTGCAAAGTGAGAGTAGATTAGAGTAAATGTTGCTGGTTACATTTACATTAGAGGTTTTGCAAGCCTCATTAATTTGCAAAATATTTGCAAGATATGATCATGACAGCTCTGTCCAGAGTGGTCCCTTAGAATTGAAATAATGTTGCCATTATGCTCTGGAAAAATTGAATTAGCCAAGGAAAGGCTAATTTCATTTTTATTGATATTACTATAGGAAGACTTGTGCAATGTTTGAAAACACTGTAAGTGTAATTGTTTTTTTTAACAATTACAGCTTAATCTGTTAACTAATCAGAAATAATAAGGAAAACTAGACTATAAAATTTTCACTCATGTAATTCCCTATTTGTTCTGGTCGAAGATGTGTATCTATATTTCCACATTTGTGTATGTTTATGTGTATGTGTCTGTGGTGTCGCTGAAAACGGTGTTCATTCTAAATTATATTCTTATATATACAACAATTATTTACTGAAAGCGTATAATTAGGAAAACTTTGAAAAGCATAGTAATTAATAAGGCTGGCATTCAAACATTTATGCTCTATTTGTTAAAATATTGTAATAGTTGTTTTTACTATAGTGTAACTTTTGCCAGTCTAACCACTGCAACCCTTCCCCAAGGACTCCATGGGCCTCCAAACAATCCAGCAGCACCTAAAGGGTTAATATCTCAGGAGGCCTCAGGACCTCAGTCTTTCCGATAAGTGAGAGCTCTAATCTATGCTTGTTAATTTTGTGTTACCTCTGGATACAAAGATGGATATGATATGGCTCCTTCCTTCCAGGAGTTTGTATCTGGTTGTGGAAATAGATATTCATAAATTATCTCAATACAGGGTACACTCTGATGTAATAAAAATGTGAACACGGTGCTGGGTAGCATGATGAGGAGATTAATGCCAACAGTAGGGGTCTGAGAGGGATTCCTAAGAGATATTTGGTTTTATTTGGACCTTGAAGGATGAGCTGGAATTTATAAGTTATTATGCTTGGAGAGGACATTTCGGCAGAGAAAACAACCTTATCGAAAACACAGAGAAGACAGTTTCTGTAAATAATGAATAGATGGGTGTGTTTGGAGTGTGTGTATATGGTGGGGAATGCAGAGTGACATACGGTTAGAAATACAGGCAGATTTTGCAGGGCAGAATTTTCTTTTACTTTTTATTGTAGTGGGAGTCATTGACTATTTCTGAGGAAGCAAGAGGCATAGATCAAACAATTTTTAGGGAAAAAATCTGGAGGTAATATATAAAACAGATGGGTGGGGAGAGATAAGACATCTAAATCTGGGAAATTATTTAGGCGCTTTTGGTAATAATTTAGATCAGGTAACAATAATTTTTTGGTAAAGGTCCAGATGGTAAATATTTTATGCTTGTGAGCCATATGGTCTCTGTTACAACTACTGAACTGTGCTTTCATAGCATGAAAGCAGCCATAGACAGTACCTAAATGAACATGAGTGGCCCTGTTTCAATAAAACTTGATTTCCAAAAAAAAAAAAAAAAAAAAAAGTTGGTAGGCCAGACATGACACGCAGGCCCGTTGACCCCTGTTCTAGATCATCAGTTATCAATGTAAGCACCTTAATTTGGGTTCCCCATAAAGTACACTCTGACACAAGAATTTTAGTGCAAATAGTTTATTTGGAAAGTTATCTTAGGACACACTTTATTATATCTTCCACATATTTCTGGTATCAACAGGCTAAGTATGCTCCCATGACCAAAAAAAAAAAAAAAAATAGCTTCAGGCAGAGAGATGCAAGAAAACATTTGTAAGCATGCGAATCATCTAATCATCTATGGAGGAGATACAGGCTGTGAACAGCATATGCTTTAGTGATTATCACGGTATTTGGATAGGTGGGGGAAATTTTAAAAAAAGGGTGATGTTGCAATGTGTGCTTTCAAGAAGTGCCAATCAAAATTCATATGTGTCTGTAGGAGGAACATTTATTTGAAAGCCCATTTGGCGTGGAATGAAAGTTAAGAATGGCCAGTGGAAATGAAAGTTAATGGTAGCACCTGTAATCCCAGCACTTTGGGAGGCTGAGGCAGGCAGATCACCTGAGGTCAAGAGTTCAAGACTAGCCTGGCCAACCTGGCAAAACTCTCCACTGAAAATACAAAAATTAGCTGGGTGTGGTGGCGTGTGCCTGTAATCCCAGCTACTTGGGAGGCTGAGGTACGAGAATCACTTGAGCCCAAGCGATTCTGCGAGGTGGAGGTTGCAGTGAGCTGAGATTGTGCCATTGCACTCCGGCCTGGGTGACAAGAGAGAGACACCATCTCAAAAAAAAAAAAAAAAAAGAAAAAAAAGAAAAAAGTTAATGGTAGGCTAAACTTCACCAATAAAAAATAGGTAGGCAGTTTCAAGAGAAATAAAAAGGTAGAACCATTCTATCACATTTTATGCTCCCTGGGGAGCAGTCTCGAAGATGGAGTTTAGCAAGCAAAATATTTATTAGGAACTGCTATTAGTATCAACTAGCGTGTGTATGGATGGGACAGGGAGAAGGGTGAAATACAATTGGGAAAGGGAGATGTTGAGCTGTGATGCAGTCCTAACAGAGACCTCAGCTGACCCTATGGGGAATGCTATAGCTAGACGACCCTTCAGAATTATCCTGAGTCGGGGCAAATGAGTCAATCCTTTATACCCCTGACAGTCATTGGAAGTTGATTAGGTTTGGGAGGACTCACGATCTTGGGAGAGGCAGTGTTCTTGAGCTGAGGAAACACTGAGAGAAGGTTGACAGCTGAATGCCATGTTCCCACAAGACCCCAGCCCCTGGGGGAATAGTTCCTGGTTGGTGCCTGACAATATCCATCACAGGTACATTTAATGATGATTGGGTATGAGGAGATGAAGGAGAAAAAAGAGGCACAAATGGCAATAGTACTGAGCAATCGTAAGGAAGGTGATACCATTAAATTAAAGAGAATTAAAACAAGGATAAAAAAACCCAGTTATATTTTGAGATTAAAATTGTCTTTTTTGCCAACATATTTCACAAAATGAAAAAAAGTATTAAATAAGATGACCTAGACATGAAACTATGGACTCCGATTTCACAAATATAGCATTATATTACTGACAAAAGAAGCAAAACAAAACAAGCAAGGAAACATACTATGTGTGAAGTCTATTTTTCTTAAGGCCATGGCAGAAACAATTTGTTAATGATGTCGTGCTTTAAGACATAATGAAAGTCAAGATTCTTTCCTTAATAACCATAAAATGACCTCTCTGATCTGCATAAAAATTATAACTTGAAGAGATAATATGACTGTTGATTATTACAAAATTAGTGTGTAACAAACTGCAGAAATGTAGTACTATGGTCTTTAGTTTACATGAAGTAGTAAAATATGGAAAATCATTTTTATTTTGCTTAGGAAGAAGTTTGTTTTGCATAAGACTAATATTTACATGAAGATGATTAGGCCTAATTGATTAACTTGTAAATTAGTAACAACAATTCTTAAATTTAGTTTGATTGCAATAACATAGTATGATTCATAAACATAATTTAGAGAGGTTACAAAATATGGATGTTTATAATACAGAAACTCCTAATGCAATAGTAAGAAAATTAATTTGCACATGTAAGAATTAAAGTTTGTATAATTTGGTATAACCTGCATATCATTTTCTAATAATTTGTTCTAGTTGCTTTTTAATAATCTAGATGGAACCCATATGTCTAAATTGTGTGCCTCTGGCATGAGAATTTTAAATTCCATGGGAGGATGCCACACTAATCAGCCTGATGTTCTCCAGCTGCTACTCTAAGGGCATAATATACCTTTAAAAAGAACAATTTTGTTTTGAGACAGGGTGTCACTCTTTCACCTAGGCTGGAGTGTAGTGGCACAATCATGTCCCACTGTAGCCTCAGTCTCGTGGGCTCTAGCAATCCTTCAGTCTAAGTCTCCAAGGAGCTGGGACTAGAGGCACATGCCACCCCACTCGACTAAGGTTTTTTTTTTTTTTTTTTGTATTTTTGATACATACAGGGTCTCACTATGTTGCCCAGGCTGGTCTCAAACTCCTGAGCTCAAGGGATCCTGCCGCATCAGCCTCCCAAAGTGCTGGGATTACAGACCTGAGCCACCATGCCCAGCAAAAAAAAAAAAAAGTTAATAACAACAAGCAGATATGTGTTTAAACTTGTAGGTCTACCTCCAGAACCACTTTCCTGTGTTATCAGTTACCTACTTCCATAGCACACTAGGTACAGTGTAGCAGTTTTGAGCTATTTTCTGACTCAGACCTGTTTCGCAGCCTAAATATCCATCTATCTATTTATAGACATATGTTTATCAGAATATTAATAAACTACTTTTATATAAATAAAAATACATAAGATAGCAAAGGAAACCAATAATTTTGAAATAATGTCAAAATAAAAATGAAATGCACGTGTGACATAGGAATATATGCACACCTTAACACATTGGAAAACAATATGCAGTAAAAAGTCTTATAATTTCTACAATATTGAAACAGTAATGCATATCTCAATACATATGACACTACTGTTACATGATAAAAATACTTCTGATGTTTACTGGTGACATAGTCATTGATGCTTACCACTCTTGGGATTCATTGCCCACATTCAGATTTGAAGGAAATAAAGCATTTCAGTTAGAATTTAGTGAAAACACAAATTTTATTTTTTGATCCAATTCTTTAGCCTTTCCCAACCCCTTAAATTCTATACATTGGCCTTCTGGATGTTCGTGGCTACTAGGTTAAAAACCCACAGCTGGCCCTTCTCTATTGCCTTCTGCTGGAGCTACAACTGTGGTGAGTTTGATATTGGCAAGTCAGGGCAGTGGCCCCGCTGCACAGTCCACTTCAATGAAATCCTTTCCCTGAGGGCACTCCCTTTAATGTAAGCGAGGCCAAATGGTAAAGGAATGTAAATGCCAGAACAAGAACCTGAGACTTTAATTCATAGACGTTTTTCAGGCTTTGATACTTTTCTGATAGCATGCCGCCGTGATCCAAGCAATGGTTTAGTCTTATAACTTTGTTGGTGGTAAATAGGATGGCTTAAAGCAGAGGTGGTAATTGGGTAAGGCACGGGGAAGAAGTATGAGTGGAGTTAGGATATTACTGTCATTGTTCTGTCTCAACAATGAAAAGTAAAGTGACGATCAGTGTCACGTATTACCAAAACTTGAGTACAGAATTTGGTTCATAGAGTCAAAGCTTTCACTGATGTTTCCAAACCAGATAAATATGAAAGCTGTTGTAATGCACACAGAAGCAGGGAAATGAGAAAGAAAAACATAACTGGGAGGGCCATATGTCTTTGATTTGAAATGTTCCCCATTTGATATTTTGGCTGAGAAAATTTCCAACCATCACTTGTTAATCTTGAATTGAAATTCTGGGTGGAAGACTGAGCTAGACATCTCGGTTGGGAGCTACAGGGAACAAGCAGCTATTTGGATTTGTGAGGGTGGTAAGACACCTGAGGGACAATGTGCAGAGGAATGCTACATAAAAGTGGGGGCAAAGGAGTTGTGAAGGAAGATCTTGAAACACAGGAAATAGAGTATTGTTATCAGGTATCTGGTAAAGAGGGAATCAGTCCCCTGCCACTTACACGCTCTTATTTTCCATGGCTTTACTTTCATCTTTATATATAGTACAAATTCCATATCGGTTCTGTTGTTTATTTCATGTTCGTTTAGACTAGATTAAGCATCATGTTCACCAATTTTTTTCTCAACATGGTTTTTGAATTTCACACTTTTTCTTTCTTTATTGAGGATGTTCTTTAAATGTGCTTTTAGTGAAGGTATATTGGTGGCATATTGTCTTTATTTTAGTTTGTCTGAAAATATTTTTATTTTACCCTTGTTCTTGAAATGTAGTCTCACTGGATATAGAATTTGAAATTGATAATTTATCTTTGGCAGTATGATTCCACTGCTCTTTGGTTTGCATTGTGGCTTTTATTGGATTTCAATCTAACTGTTCTTTCTTTCCATATTTTCTTTATAGTTTAAAAAAAATATTTTCTCTTTGATTTTGGTGTTTTGCAGTTTCACTCCCAAACACACATATAAGCACAAACACTCACAAACACAATTGGGATTAATTAGGCTATTGAATCTGAGAATTGGTGTCTTTCCCTGTTTCTGGAAATTTCTCACGTTTTATCTTTTTGATATTATCACTCCTCCATTTTTCTATTTCCTCCTTTGGAATCCAGATTAAATATATTTAGATCATTTTAGTCTATCTCCTTAAGTCTTTTATCTCTGTTTTATATTTATTAATTTCTTTGTGTTTCTGTGTTGAATTCTGATTTTTTTTCCAAATGCTCCTTTTTTCTAACTATGTCTCTCTTCAATAGTCTTTAATTTGCTGACTGACTAGGCCATTTATTTGTAATTTTTATAGTTTGTCATTATTAGAAATTCTCATATGTAATTTCTTCCAGACAAGATTTACATTTGTATCTGCCAGAGCTGTTAGCACCACTTTCAACTAAATAATTACAGTAGGGTTTTTGAGGCCTCAGGTATAATATGAATTGTGGGCTCAGACCCACATGGGTTATGAGGGTTTTCACCTTAACCTTTGTCTCATGATTCCCACATGTAGCCCTTAAAAATCAAGACTCCATCCAGGCCACGGTAGAGTTGCAGATACACCAAAGAAAATATCAACTCTAGTACTCCCTGACTTTTGTGGATTCACCCTTTTATAGTTCCCTACATTTTAAAAAGTGGTTTTGTGTGTGTGTGTGTGTGTGTGTGTGTGTGTGTGTGTGTGTGCGCGCGCGCGCATGCATGTGTGTTGAATGTAAAATTTTCAGATATATTTAACTGGGATAAGATTCTCTGAACATCCTTTTCAGCATATTGCCAGAAAAGGCTGGCACTAACTTATTTTAAACAAAATTTACCTCACTGTGAACTTCTGCCATGGATTTAACTTAAACATAAGACATCATAATTATCTCTTATGAGTGACTTCTAGATAACATTGCGAACTTTTAATTTTTGAATTATTCTCTTGGTTCACTAGTGACATTTTATTTGTGACCCCTCAAGAAATTATATAAACTGAAGAAGGATCATCAAGTAATAGACTGTCTTTCTGTTGCCTACGATGTTGATTGAAGTGCAACAGGGAAATGCCATAAGTATCATTTATTAAATTGTGATTTCTTTAGATGTAAGAACAAAATTCAAGTTATAAGTATTTAATATACTGATCATGGCCTGATGTCCTAAAATTATCTCTGAACGTCACACAACAAAAATATTTTCATGTGCATGTACTTGCAATAAGTCATTAGACATTACAGAACACTGCAGGGACTCAGATTCATGCAGTTACCAAGGTGATTTTAACTTTGTTTACTCCACATTAAAAAAAAATGCTGAGAACCCATGTTAAAGGTGGTTTCCACTTGTATCGGTATATTTAGTCTTTACCCTGCACATTCATAATAGTCTGAAATTCTCTCTTATTATTCATGACCCTTAAGAGTAACAAATAGTCATTTAAGCTGGTAGCTCCAGAAAATAAGTAACAGTGATCAATTTTAACATAATCAAACAATACCTTGTATTTTTGTTCAATAGCAGCTGTAAGTGCTTTACTTGCTGAAAAGTGACTGTATTCATTTAGTTCAGCACAACTGTGAATTATAGCTAAGACACCTCCTAAAAATTTGCAATTCAGAAGTTAGCACACTAGAAAAAGATCTATTATGACATTGGCACAAGAAAGCCTCATCCAAATAATTGGCAAACAAGCTTTTATTCCACTTTCGTAAATATACGATATTAGAAAACTTCTGCTTAATGTCTAAATAAAATGCTTAATGTGAGCACAATAAAGGTCTTATGTTAGGCCTACATTAAAGCAAGATAAAAATAGTTTTTATAGTCATCATTCTGCCACTCTCTGAAATGATATACTTTTCAGAAAGATATTTGTTGCCAATTGCCATCTTCAAAATGGAAAATTTAATCCAAAATTTGATTTCTAATATTATGTGTGTGGAGAAGCACTGCTTGCCCCATTTATTTTTAAAAAGTGATGCCAAGCAAATGTATTGCCATTTAATTTTGCATTTTCATTTAACTTTGGTCAGGATATTTCTGCTTTCCACCACATTGTAATGGCAAAATTGCATGTCTTATACCTTTCAACTTTCTATTTAACTGTTATTGTGTTTCAAAGAAACATATTCAGAAGTCAAACAATTTGATATTCAATGGTTTCTTAAAATATCCCTTGGAAACATTTCAAGGTAAAGCCAATATTACATATTTTAATTGATTTTTACCATTAATCTTTTTCTTAAGGCAATATACCATAACCATAATAGTAACTTTGAGAATGAGGTTTATTTTTTTAAATACGATTCCTTTAAAATAGGCTAATTTTATTATTGCTTTTACAAAACAAATGTTAAATATTTTTTAAAATATCAAGAAATCAAGAAATGCTATTTTCTCCAGCTTTAGTGAGGTCTGATTAACCAAAATTGTATATATTTAGTGTGTAAAATGTGATGTGTTAATATATATATAGTGAAATAATTACCACAATCAAGCTAATCAGCATATCCATTACCTAACATAGTTACCATTTTTGTGTGTAAAATACTTTTCTTTTTAATGAGAGCTTTTTTGAGACTTTTCTTTGTTCTTGAATATAAGCCAAGGTACTTTTTATATCCTGAGCAAGCCATCCTTTGATTTTTGCCACTTAAATGGTGTGCAGCTATTTCAAGATTTTCAACAATATTATTGTAACAACTTAGTATCATTTTTCACAAAATCTAATTTTAATTTATGTATAATAGAAATATGTAATATTTTATTTTTAAATATAGCTTTTTAAAACTCAAAGGCGATTATCAGCATATGATTGCTTTTATAATCCATATTACGTGCAAGACAGACTCTGAGACACCTCCCGCCTCTGGGACCTCGGTCTGGTTATTCAACCCCCCAATTTTCTTATGCATGGAATGAAAATATGATTACTCCCAACATTACTAGTTGTTATGCTATCAAGGGGTGGTAGTGCTGTGAAGCCACTAACAGAACATGTAGAGGGCACTAAATACATGAGAGATCTTCTTGGCTGGGTGTGGTGGCTCACACCTGTAATCCCAGCACTTTGGGAGGCTGAGGTGGGTGAATTTCTTGAGGCCAGGAGTTCTAGACCAGTCTGGCCAACATGGCGAAACCCTGTCTCTACTAAAAATGCAAAAGTTGACTAACAAAAGTTAGTCAAGCCATAAAACCTAGAAGGGGCACTCTCTCCCTTCTCCCTTCTCCTTGAAGACCCTTGCTCCAGAGGGGTCCTGCCTTATATATGTGGGGAAGGAATGCCACACAGGATATAAGATCAATCATGTATTTACTGGCTTCTGCATGCTCTTCTAGTGGCTTCATAGCACTACCACCCCTTGATGGGATAACAACTAGTAATGTTGGAAGTATTCGTATTTTCATTCCATGCATAAGAAAATTTTGGAAAGGCCTTGTTGGATTTCCTTCCTCAGACTATTACCACTAGATCACGCTTTTCATACAATTACATTTCTATGCATGCAGCTGTTAATTCTTCATTGCACCTAAGCATAAAAACAGACTGTTTTCCCTGGGCCGGGTGTGGTGGCTCATGCCTGTAGTCCCAGCTTCTTGGGAGGCTGAAGCCCAAGAATTGTTTGAACCCAGGAGATGGAGACAGAGGTTGCAGTGAGCCAAGGCTGTGCCACTGCACTCCAGCCTGGGTGACAGAGCAAGACTCTGTCTCAAAGAAATAATAAATAAAATAAAGTAAAATAATGATATATTTTATGCAATTGGACAGCATGACTTCAACTCTTAATTGTTGGGAGCAAGCCCCCCAAAATCTGGCCATAAACTGGCCCCAAGACTGGCCATAAACAAAATCTCTGCAGCACTGTAACATGTTCATAATGGCCCTAACGCCCACGCTGGAAGGTTGTGGGTTTAGGGGAATGAGGGCAAGGAATACCTGGCCCGCCCAGGGCAGAAAACCGCTTAAAGGCATTCTTAAGCCACAAACAATAGCATGAGTGATTGGTGCCTTAAGGACATGCTCCTGCTGCAGTTAACTAGCCCAACCTATTCCTTGAATTTGGCCCATCCCTTCGTTTCCCGTAAGGGATACTTTTAGTTAATTTAATATCTATAGAAACAATGCTAATGACTGGTTTGCTCTTAATAAATATGTGGATAAATCTCTGTTCGGGGCTCTCAGCTCTGAAGGCTGTGAGACCCCTGATTTCCCACTTCACACCTCTATATTTCTGTGTGTGTGTCTTTAATTCCTCTAGCGCTGCTGTGTTAGGGTCTCCCCGACCGAGCTGGTCTTGCCACTTAATTATGTCATTCTCTGGTTGTGTGACCTTGGATAATTTACTTAACCTTACCAAATGTCAGGTTTCTTATTTGTAAAATATAGATAATATTTAACCCTTCAGGGTGGTTATAGGTATTAAATAAAAATATATGAAATGGGCTTGCCTAGTAAGTGCTCAATAATGTTTATCACTCTTTTTTAATACACTGACTTCAATTTTCACCTCATTTTATCTGCTGACATTAGAAAACTATTTAGAAAAAATCATGTAAGAACATTCTTTGCATGCAAACAACAGTGTTAATTAAAATTTATCTTTTAATATGTAAATAAAGCAAGCCTTAGAAAAAAATCTATTTGGAAGTTGGTTTAGAATATACAAATATAAAATCAACCACTTACTTGTATCTTTGAGAAAACTATGTATAGTATTTGAGATTAATGAGAATTTTGCTTGTGATTATCAGTTTCATTTTTATGTCTTCTAATAGCTACTGAGCAACACATGGCTCTTTTATTAATCGTAACTACAAACACTATATATATATTTTTTTCTCTGATTCTCAGAAACATCTGATTGATATAGATGCTGTTATTTTTCCTGTTTTACAGAGGAGAAGAAACTAAGGCATGAAGAACTTAAGTAAATTGTTGACATTCATGTAACTAATCAGTGGTATACCTGGGAGTTGAACCAAAGTATCCAGAGTCTTTGTTATGTATCTCTGTGCCATTACTGTCTGTCTTTCTCTCTTTCAGCTTTATTGAGGTATAATTGACAAATAAAATCTGGATATACTTAAGGTATACAATTTGATGTTTTTATATACCCATATATTGTGAAATAATCACCACAATCAAGCTAGTTAACATATCCATCTTTTTTGTGTGAGGTGAGAACACTTAAGATCTACTCTCTTAGCAAATTTCAAGTATACAATATATTATTATTAACTGTAGTCACAGTTGGAGCTGAGAACACAATACCCCAAAGTATGGTGGTTTTGGCATGCTGAGTAATTTGAAGAAAAGGAGGTTGGAAGGCTTCAGATACAGTCTCAGAAACAAGTCTCTCTGACTTTCTCCTGCTCCCCTGTCTCCTTCTCCCAAACATAATTCCTCACCCTCAAGGCAGGTCATAGGATCTAGAACCGCTCTCTCCCAGAGCAAGACATAAGACCTAGAAAGGTCACTATCTCCCTTCTGCTTTCTCTTTGAAGACCCTAATTTCAGAGGGGTCCTGCCTCATACCCTCGGGGAAGGAATGCCACACAGGGTGTCCAAGAAAATTTTGGAAAGGCCTTGTTGGGTTTCCTTCCTCAGTCTATTACCACTAGATCATACTTTTTGTACAATTACATTTCTATGCAGCTGTTAATTCTTCATTGCACCTAAGCATAAAAACAGACTGTTTTCCCTGGGTCTTTGGATGTTCATTTTGAAGCATGATTTTTCTTGGCCCCTTTGCCAGACACGCAGCAGGGGCATCCTGTCTACTTGGCCAGCCATGCTCAGCCCCTTGCAGGAGGGAGCACATGAGCAATGAGTGCGGGGGTTCAGCTGGCCAGTCCAAGTGCCAACACAGAAGCAACCTCTGTGCCGGGCCCACAGCCAGACCAGGTGTGTAAGTTACATCGAGGGAAATGCAGCGGCACCCAGGCAGGGGAGCACATGATACGGAAGCCCCAGAAGGGGTGTTACTGTGTTAATTAGCTCTTTTAGTTCCACCATCCACAGCTTGATGAATGGCGGCATGTTAGCAGCTCAGTTGGCCTCTTGCCCCATCATACAGGGATTCTGCCATCCACCAGTGAGGGCAAAAGGCCAGTGCAACAGCCTTTCAGAGTACCCGTGCTCTGTGGGTCCCAAGCTCTTGTCCAGCATCCAAGAAGAATAAGGTCATGCTGAGGATCGAAGGGTGATGAAAGCAGAGGATTTTATTGAGTGATGGAACAGCTCTCAGAGGAGAGGGGATGTAGGGGCACGGGGTTGTTCCCCCACCCCCGCAGTCAGGTGGTTTCTCCCTGTGTGGCTGGGTCCCTGGTTGTTTATAGACTCAGAATGGGGAGTGTATGCTGGCTGGTTTGTGAGTACGCAAAAAAGGTTAAAGTGAAGATACCACTCAAAGGTGGGCACAACAGTGTAGAAAACCAATTAGGAAAGGGTAGGTATATGTAAAATAGGTGAAAGGTGAGGATCAATCACAGGAAGGCTTGCCAAAAGGGAAGGTTCTCAATCCTGTGAGGATTTAACTTGTAGCTTAGCTTTCAGGCTTTAAACTGTCTTCCTCTTGGAGGTGGGGTTTCACAGGAGATCTGCCCCTATCTGCCTAGGCATTTGACTGCCACCTGTCACTATCAATTTCTGAGGGCTCCTGTGTCATATAAAAATTTGATTAAATAAATTTGTTATACTTTCCTATTGTTAACCTGCCTTTTGTTATATGAGCGTTGACCCTGATCCTTATGCTCAAGAAGGAAAAGTATCACATCTTTCTCCACCTACAGTCAACATGCTATTATTAGGTCTCTAGAACTTACCCACTTTATAACTGCAAGTTTCTATACTTTGACCAACATCTTCCCCGTTCCCTCTCCCACAGCCCCTAGCCACCACCTTACTACTCACTGCTTCTATAAATATGACTACTTTACATTCCAAGTATAAATGAAATCATACATGTTTGCCTGTGGACAGACAGATTGTTTCCAACATACCATCTCTTATTAATGTTGAAAGAAACTTAGTGACCATACCACCATAGGAAATGTTAAAGTATTATCCAATGTAGATTACTGCTTTTTCCATTTTCTCTTTCTTCCCACTGTTCTCTTCTTATGTTAACAGGCAAATGCCTAGAAGTGATGGCCAGATGATTATACATCCCTTTAAAAATAACTCTCTTAACATGATATGGGTATATAGGGATTTTGGACTTCATTTGTCTCCCACCCTCTCCTAGCTCATTTCATTAGAAAGCCTGGAAGGATGATGCCAAAAGTTTCACTGAAATCTAATTTGTATTTTGCTAGCTTGCTCCCATCACCAGTGTTGTTTATTGCATAGTTGTAAAAGCATAAAAAACAATCAGGTGCTACTAGTCTTTCAAAACAAGTTTTGGTTGCTACAAAGCATTGTATGATCTTTTAGGTGAGAGGAATGGTGTGCAAAATGAGGGTTTTGATCTACCGTGAAGAGAGTAGATTAGGTTTTCTCAGATCCCTTCATGGTCCTCAAAACTCTCCTTTTTGCTTTTACCATCTCTGCTTTCCAAGGTGGCTCTGATGTTTCATACCAGTTTTAGCTGCCTTCATGGTGTTACCCTCCAGGATTCGTGAGCACTAGACCTTTTCTTTCAGCCCCCTGATCCTCAAATCAAGATATGTACTAATTCTAGTCCCAATTCTAATTTAGATGAATGGCTAGAGATAAATTCTTTAGTGTTAATACATCAATGAATCATGACACATACTACATTTTCTGTTATTACATGAAATGATCTGTCCTTTGACTTTCATGCCAGAATTGGCCTCCAGACTAATACTTGGCATATAGCAGCAAGTATCCAGCTATTACTAAAGAGAAGAAACAGTGCATTTCAAAAATAAAATGGTTTCTAAAATATTAAAAACATAGTAGTGCAATAACAGGAGTATAATAAAACATAAAATATATAAGAACCATCAAGGAAGACTTAGAAACCTGAAGAAAAGCATACAATGGCATACATTCTGTCAGGCTGAAGGAAAGACACTCCTACAACTCCAGTATTTTCCATGAGGCCCATATTTAATTGGCACAACATTCACTTTTAATTCTTGATTATGTATTATAGACTTAGTTCTCCCTGGGAATATAAGTCAGGCTGTAGATGCTCTACTGAATATAAATTCAGGTTGCTTTAGGAAGAAAGGCTCTAATGGTTAATGAATCCACCTGTAAAAGTCTTTACATTTGAATTCAGAACTACCAGGATATATTTTGCATGTATATTGAGAAGATAAAACTCTTCGTTTGTGTGCATGTGTGTGCTCACGTGTGTGTGTTTGTGTGTGTGTGTGTCTTGCTTGGCAAATCAAAAATAATTTGTATATCTTGTGAGGGGTTATTTACAGTCAAATGAAAACATGATTTGGTAGGCTTTTCTCATGTATAGTATTTAGATAAGAATTTAAGATATAAGGGTTTGTTATAAAAAACTATTTTATTCAAATATCATACATTTTTTAGAATTTCTTTTCAAATTCAAATACTCTTCAAAAATGCTTTTCTAATATATAAGGAATAAAACACCCTATTTAAATTTGTAGGGTTAGAAGATCCTTCAGCGATTCTAAAACTTTAAAATCGAAGGTTTTACATGGAGACTTAGGAAGCCACCTTCATAGTGCAGTGCATCCAAGCAGGTGATTACAGTTGCATTTGATACCAGTAAAACATACTTGACTAAAGCACATTGATAAAACTAAGATAAGTTGATGAATGGAGACAGATGATAGCCATGTAAAGCTTCTCTAATTATTGAAATATAGAGGCTTCATTAATTATTCTGCATTAATTATCTTGCACTTGGCATTGCCAGTGCCCAAAAGAAATCTATAAGTGGTTGTAAGCTCCACTTACACACCCTGTTTGTGCAGTACTTCCAATGTTGGGTGACAGTTCTCAACTACCGTCATTATCCTGCTGAGAAATACTTCCCTGGGAATGGTGAGTACAGTCTCTGAAGCATACAGTGATTTGTAGCAGGATTATTGAGGTGTAATTGACATATGTTAAATCGCTCATATTTAAAGTATAAAATGTGAGACGTGTTAACATTTGTATAGCCTCATGCAACTATCAAAACAGTCTAAATCAAAGCAACCACTCTGGAAATTTTCCTTGTGTTCATTTGTAAACCTTTCCCTTTCTGCTTCCTTCATGCCAATCTACCATTTCCTTAGGCAACGAAATATCTGTTTTCTATCACTAGAGTATACACTTTCTAGAATTTTATATAAATGAAAACATACAGTGTGTACTCTCTTTGGTCTAGCTTCTTTTATTTGACATAATTATTTTGAGATTCATTCACATGTGTCAATAGTTCATTTCTTTTATTGCTGAGTAGAATTCTATGGTATCAGTATAACAAAATTTGTTTAGTGATCTGCCTGTTGACAGACATTGGGGTGTTTCCAACTTTTATAAATTACAAATAAAGCTGCTATGTACATATGGTTATGAACATACAAATCTCTGTACAGATATATGCTTTCATATCTTTTGGGTAAAATCCTATGGATGGTATATGTATGTTTAACTGTTAAGGAAACTGCCTGGCAATTTTCCAAAGCGGTTCTATTTTTCATTCCTACCAACAGTGTATGGGAATCCAGCTCCTCTACATCCTTGGAAATAGTGTGGTTAGTCATTTTAATTTCAACCATTTTAATAAGCGTCTAGTACTACTACATTGTAATCTGCATTTTCTTAATGAATAATGATGTTGAATACCTTTTAATGTGATTGTTATTCACAGAGATATTTTGGTAAAATGTCTACTCAACTATTTTTCCCAGCTTTAACTGAGGTTTTGTTTTCTTATTGTTGAGTTTTGATATTTCTTTATATGTTTAAGATAAAATTTATTTATTTGATCTATGTTTTGCAAATATTTTCTCTCAGCTCAGGGCTTGTTATTTCATGGTCTTAACTGTGTTTTTTTGAAGAGAACTTTTACATTTTGATGAATTCCAATTTATCTTTTTCTCTTCTATGGATCAGGAAGAGCATGTAGTTTTAATAGGGACCTGAACTAACACTGCTTTGACATTTTGCTGCAGAAAAAAAAAAAAAACCCATGCATTTGTTCCTAAAACTAAAACATTACTGTTTTCTATAACACAATTCTGAATCCTGTAGATTTTAATAATCATCTTTTGTTATACATGGTATCTCTGTTATGCTCATTTTATGTTAACAATGTGGTATAGAAAGAACAACGAGTACAACCAACATATTTTAAAAAAATAAAAAAAGAAGGAAGAAGAAAATTAACTTACAAAGCTAGAATTATGGCTGCCAATCTTAGGTACTTAGATCCTGGGATTCTAGATAGCCATGAACCTCATGTGCTTCCAAGGATGTTGAAAAGACCCCATGAGATTCTATCCTTGCGAGAAAGCCAAATTAGATGAATTTAGTTTTGGTTTATTAGTTGGTTTTAACTATAGGATGCTTAATAAACACGACCCTTAGGAAATAAAATATGTAGCATACAAGTTTTGTTCAGGGGTGGTAAAAATACCCCAAAGACATACTTTCAAGATTACCCTATTTTGGGGAGAAATTATAAACCTAAAACTGGTGGGGGATGATTGTTGTATTATGCACAGTAAAGGCAGATGTAACCTACCAATACACTAGATTATACTATCACTGTTCACTATCAGCCATACAATTTCCTTCTCTTCACATTATTTTTGATCCCCTATTGGAGGGTAGATAAAGTGTAAGAAAGTGATTTAGACATAAGGTTAAAATATAGATAAAAGGAGATGAAGAGAGAAAAGAAGGAAGAAAGTAGGAAAATGGTAAGAGTAGGAGTATTAGAGGAGGCTTAGGAGGATCCTTCAGGCTTTCATCTTTAGTCTCACTACTCAGAGTTTACAGAGTAGTATGATATTAGAGAAACAAAACTTTATTAAAATTCATTTGATCCTGTGTAATATAACGTGTATAGACCAAATACTTATCATCAGCAACAACAAAAACTTCTCTACAGAATTAACCTGCTTCCATGAAATTGACAAGTTGATGAAATCGAAGTCACACAGAGATTTTTCTTAACAGTACTCCTCCTTAGTGATAGGGAGAGGAGAAGCATGAAGCCAGTGGAGGAAGCAGGGTGGGTGTGAGGGGACCAAGTGCAATAATAGCAAAGACTGTCAGATTTTCCTGTTCCCAAGGAAACTGGCTTTTGAAGGTTTTCTAAAAGATAAAGTAGTTTAGGTGACCAATGAGCACCCTTTGAATTATTTTGCTATTTTTACCATTAAAATCCTATGTATTCTGCAGCAGATTTGGTGATATTTGCACATGACTTAATATGTCCTTTTTAATATTCTATGCCAGGGGAAGGTATACGCCTTGGCCACTTAGTAACTGCATGATTTGGGCTGTTAGCCAAAGCTTCTCTAAGCCTCAGATTGCTCAGCTTTAAAATGGGTCTAATGAGTACCTCATATGTTCATTGCAGGTGTAAACTAAGAGGGTGAATGGGAAGTATTTAGCATATGCTTAGCACAGGACAAACATTCAGTAAATATTTTAAAAATTGTATTTAATAGAAAAATGACTATTGTAAAATTATGTTTCTCAGCCTTAAACTTGTGTCTTTATATGTAGATTTTAAGGAATAGGAGAAAAGAAGAGAAAAACAATCTCTAACTTAAAAAAATGATTTGTTTACTAGGGAATTTTTTTTCCTGGTTTCAAAAATATGTATGTTTTTAAAAAAATAAACTACTTTAAAAAGTGTTTAGCAGAAAAATACTTCATTTGTCAAAATAAAATCTCGTGCTACTGAAAATCTTAATAGCTACATTTACTATTCCTATTAGATTTTTCCCCAACACTCTCTTTAGATAGACTAAAAATCTCCTTTAATTAAAGAAGAGATTTACATTCTCTTATTACAATTATTCTGTTACACAGAAGCCTTTTTCAAATCATTCCAGAATTTTTCCATGACTCTGAAAAACTTAAGCACCCTAGCCAAGTTTTTATTTATTTCCGTTTCCTTTTGAGTAAGATTCCCATGGTCTGAGTAGTGGAATACAGGGATTAAAGTAATCACATTTACACTCCTGTGAAAAAACATTACTGATAATTTTTCAGGAACATTGTTTTCTTCTTATAATCATTACCACAACATTTGGTTTGAGGTTCATTGCAGACAGGTTTCCGGGTTTGTTGTTATTCTTTGTAATAATTGTACAAGAAGCAGACTACCTGCCTCTTTCATAATACTTAATAACCAATAAAGATCCAATTAAAAGAGCAATTGTTTAGAAATAAAATTAAAATGACATTGCCAAGAAAAAGGTTTTTCATTGGAAAAAAATTATGTAGAAATTAGTGGCATAGTTCGAACATATATTGTTTAGAACCTTTTTGTTTTACTAAAATATAAGCTGCTAAATATAATTGCTTCCATAACTATGGAAGCTCTTTATTCATTTATTTTTTAAAGATAAATGCCTAATTTCTCATTTAGATTTACAATATATGGTCTTGTTATACTCATCTAGGGCTTTTTAAGTGTTCTACAAATGCTTATCCAATTTCTATTTCTTAGGGATGATAAAAATGCAATACCGGAGTGGCTGGCAAGATGGCCGAATAGGAACAGCTCTGGTCTGCAGCTCCCAGTGAGATCAACGCAGAAGGCAGGTGATTTCTGCATTTCCAACTGAGGTTCCCAGCTCATCTCATTGGGACTGGTTAGACAGTGGGTGCAGCCCATGGAGGGTGAGCCAAAGCAGGGTGGGGTGTCGCATCACCTGGGAAGCACAAGGGGTGGGGGAACTCCCTCCCCTAGCCAAGGGAAGCTGTGAGGGACTGTGCAGTGAGGAATGCTGCATTCCGGCCCAGATACTATGCTTTTCCCACGGTCTTTGCAACCCACAGACCAGGAGATTCCCTCAGGAACCTACACCACCAGAGCCCTGGGTTTCAAGCACAAAACTGGGCGGCCATTTGGGCAGACATGGAGCTAGCTGCAGGAGTTTTTTTTCATACCCCAGTGGTGCCTGGAATGCCAGTGAGACAGAACCGTTCACTCCCCTGGAAAGGGGGCTGAAACCAGGGACTCAAGTGGTCTAGTTCAGTGGATTCCACCCCCACAGAGCCCAGCAAGTTAAGATCCACTGGCTTGAAATTCTTGCTGCCAGCACAGCAGTCTGAAGTCGACCTGGGACGCTCAAGCTTGGTGCGGGGAGGGGCGTCTGCCATTACTGAGGCTTGAGTAGGTGGTTTTTCCCTCAAAGTGTGAACAAAGCCACCGGGAAGTTTGAACTGGGTGGAGCCCACCGCAGCTTGGCAAAGCCAGTGTAGCCAGACTGCCTCTCTAGATTCCTCCTCTCTGAGCAGGGCATCTCTGAAAGAAAGTCAGGGGCTTATAGATAAAACTCCCATCTCCCTGGGACACAGCAAGCGGGAGAAGGGGCGGCTGTGGGCACAGCTTCAGTGGACTTAAAGGTTCCTGCCTGCTGGTTCTGAAGACAGCAACGGATCTCCCAGCGCAGCACTCGAGCTCTGCTAAGGGACAGACTGCCTCCTCAAGTGGGACCCTGACCCTCATGCCTCCTGACTGGGAGACACCTCCTAGCAGGGGTCGACAGACACCTCATACAGGAAAGCTCCGGCTGGCATCTGGTAGGCGCCCCTCTGGGATAAAGCTTCCAGAGGAAGGAATAGGCAGCAGTCTTTGCTGTTCTGCAGCCTCCACTGATGATACCCAGGCAAACAGGCTTTGGAGTGGACCTCCAGCAAACTCCAGCAGACCTGCAGCAGAGAGGCCTGACTGTTAGAAGGAAAACTAACAAACACAAAGGAATAGGGGCAACATCAACAAAAAGGATGTCCATACAAACCCCATCCAAAAGTCACCAGCATCAAAGACCAAAGATAGATAAATCCACAAAGATAAGGAAAAACCAGAGCAAAAAGGCTGAAAATTCTGAAAACCAGAATACCTCTTCTCCTCCAAAGGATCACAACTCCTTGCCAGCAAGGGAACAAAACTGGACAGAGAATGAGTTTGATAAATTGACAGAAGTAGGCTTCAGAAGGTGGGTAATAATAAATTCCTCTGAACTAAAGGAGCATGTTCTAACCCAATACAAGGAAGCTAAGAACCTTGAAAAAAGGTTAGAGGAATTGCTAACTAGAATAACCAGTTTAGAGAAGGACATAAATGACCCGATGGAACTGAAAAACACAGCACAAGAACTTTGTGAAGCTTACACAAGTATCAATAGCCTAATCAATCAAGTGGAAGGATGTCAGAGATTGAAGATCAACTTAATGGAATAAAGTGTGAAGACAAGATTAGATAAAAAAGAATGAAAAGGAACAAACAAGCCTCCAAGAAATATGGGACAATGAGAAAAGACCAAACCTACGTTTGATTGGTGTACCTGAAAGTGACGGGGAGAATGGAACCAAGTTGGAAAACACTCTGCAGGATATTATCCAGGAGAACTTCCCAACCTAGCAAGACAGGCCAACATTCAAATTCAGGAAATCCAGAGAACACCACAAAGATAGTCCTCGAGAAGAGCAACCCCAAGACACATAATCGTCAGATTCACCAAGGTTGAAATGAAGGAAAAATGTTAAGGGCAGCCAGAAAGAAAGGTCGGGTTACCCACAAAGGGAAGCCCATCAGACTAACAGCGGATCTCTGCAGAAACCATACAAGCCAGAAGAGAGTGGGGGCCAATATTCAACACTCTTAGAGAAAATAATTTCCAACCCAGAATTTCATATCCAGCCAAACTAAGCTTCATAAGCGAAGGAGAAATAAAATCATTTACAGACAAGCAAATGTTGAGAGATTTTGCCACCACCAGGCCTCCCTTACAAGACCTCCTGAAGGAAGCACTAAATATGGAAAGGAAAAACCGGTACAAGCCACTGTAAAAACATACCAAATTGTATGAAGAAACTGCATCAACTAATGGGCAAAATAACTGGCTAGCATCATAATGACAGGATCAAATTTATGCATAACAATATTAAATGTAAGTGGGCTAACTACCCCAATTAAAAGACACAGACTGGCAAATTGGATAGAGTCAAGACCCATCAGTGTGCTATATTCAGGAGAACCATCTCACGTGCAAAGACACACATAGGCTCAAAATAAAGGGATGGACAAATATTTACCAAGCAAATGGAGAGCAAAAAAAGAGCAGGGGTTGCAATCCTAGTCTCTGATAAAGCAGACTTTAAACCAACAAAGATCAAAAAAGACAAAGAAGGGCATTACATAATGATAAAGGGATCAATGCAACAAGAAGAGCTAACTATCCTAAATATATATGCACCCAATACAGGAACACCCAGATTCGTAAAGCAAGTTCTTAGAGACCTACAAAGAGACTTAGACTCCCATACAATAACAGTGGGAGATTTTAACACCCCACTGTCAATATTAAACAGATCAATGAGACAGAAAATTAACAAGTATATTCAGAACTTGAACTCAGCTCTGGACCTAGAGGACCTAATAGACATTTACAGAACTCTCCACCCCAAATCAATAGAATATACATTCTACTCAGCACCCTGTCCCACTTATTCTAAAATTGAACACGTAATTGGAAGTAAAACACTACTCAGCAAATGCAAAAGAACGGAAATCATAACAGTCTCTCAGACCACAGTGCAATCTAACTAGAACTCAGGATTAAGAAACTCACTAAAAACCACACAACTACCTGGAAACTGAACAACCTGCTCCTGAATAACTACTGGGTAAATAACAAAATTAAGGCAGAAATAAATAAATTCTTTGAAACCGATGAGAACAAAGACACAACATACCAGAATCTCTGGGACACAGCTAAAGCAGTGTTTAGAGGGAAATTGATAGCACTAAATGCCCACAGAAAAAAGTGGGAAAGATCTAAAATCGACATCCTAACATCACAATTAAAAGAACTAGAGAAGCAAGAGCAAACACATTCAAAAGCTAGCAGAAGACAAGAAATAACTAAGATCAGAGCAGAACTGAAGGAGATAGGGACACAAAAAACATTTCAAAAAAATCAATGAATCCAGCAGCTGTTTTTTTGAAAAGATTAATAAAATAGATAGACTGCTAGCCAGACTAACAAAGAAGTAAAGAGAGAATAATCAAATAGGCACAATAAAAAATGATATAGGGGATATCACCACTGATCCCACAGAAATACAAACTACCATCAGAGAATATTATAAACACCTCTATGCAAATAACCTAGAAAATATAGAAGAAATGGACAAATTCCTAGACACATACACCCTCCCAAGGCTGAACTCGGAAGAAGTCGAATTCCTGAATAGACCAATAACAAGTTCTGAAATTGAGGCAGTAATTCATAGCCTGCGAACCAAAAAAAGCCCAGGATCAGATGAATTCACAGCTGAATTCTACCAGAGGTACAAAGAGGAGCTGGTACCATTCCTTCTGAAACAATTCCAAACAATAGAAAAAGAGGGACTCCTCCCTAACTCATTTTATGAGGCCAGCATCATCCTGATACCAAAACCTGGCAGAGACACAACAAAAAAAGAAAATTTCAGGCCAATATCCCTGATGAATATCAATGTGAAAATCCTCAATAAAATACTGGCAAACCGAATCCAGCAGCACAGCAAAAAGCTTATCCACTACGATCAAGTCAGCTTCATCCCTGGGATGCAAGGCTAGTTCAACATATGCAAATCAATAAATGTAATCCATGACATTAACAGAACCAATTACAAAAACCATATTATTATCTCAATAGATGCAGGAAAGGCCTTTGGATTTTATCAAATCCCACCACTTCATGCTATAAACTCTTAATAAACTAGGTATTGATGGAACGTATCTCAAAATAATAAGAGCTGTTTATGACAAACCCACAGCCAGTATCATACTGAATGGGCAAAAGCTGGAAGCATTCCCTTTGAAAACTGGCACAAGACAAGGATACTCTCTCTCACCACTCGTATTCAAGACAGTATTGGAAGTTCTGGCCAGGGCAATCAGGCAAGAGAAAGAAATAAAGGGTATTCGAATAGGAAGAGAGGAAGTCAAATCATCTCTGTTTGCAGATGACATGATTCTATACTTAGAAAACCCCATCGTCTCAGCCCAAAATATCCTTAAGCTAATAAGCAACTTCAGCAAAGTCTCAGGATAAAAAACCAATGTGCAAAAATCACAAGCATTCCTATACACGAATAATAGACAGAGAGCCAAATCATGAATGAACTCCCATTCACAATTGCTACAAACAGAATAAAATACCTAGGAATACAACTTACAAGGGATGTGAAGGACCTCTTCAAGGAGAATTATAAACCACTGCTCAAGGAAATAAGGGAGGACACAAACAAATGGAAAAATATTCCATGCTTATGGATAGGAAGGACCAGTATCATGGAACTGGCCATACTGCCCAAAGTAATTTATAGATTCAATGCTATCCCCATCAATCTACCATTGACTTTCTTCAGAGAATTAGAATAAACTACTTTAAATTTCATATGGAACCAAAAAAGAGCCCTTATAGCCAAGACAATACTAAGCAAAAAGAACAAAGCTGGAGGCATCACACTACCTGACTTCAAACTAAACTACAAGGCTACAGTAACCAAAAGAGCATGGTACTGATACCAAAACAGATATATAGACCAATGGAACAGAACAGATGCCTCAGAAATAATGCCGCACATCTACAACCATCTGACCTTTGACAAACCTGACAAAAACAAGCAATGGGGAAAGGATTCCCTATTTAATAAACGGTGTTGGGAAAACTGGCCAGCCATATGCAGAAAACTGAAACTGGACCCCTTCCTTACACCTTATAGAAAAATTAACTCAAGATGCATTAAAGACTTAAGCATAAGACTTAAAACCATAAAAACCCTAGAAGAAGCCCTAGGCAATACCA
Source organism: Homo sapiens (assembly GCF_000001405.40). NCBI lineage: Eukaryota > Metazoa > Chordata > Mammalia > Primates > Hominidae > Homo > Homo sapiens. The sequence goes on along the minus strand of NC_000023.11, from coordinate 35,631,493 downwards.
TTGAGGACACAGGCATGGGCAAAGACTTCATGACTAAAACACAAAAAGCAATGGCAACAAAAGCCAAAATTGACAAATGGGATCTAATTAAACTAAAGAGCTTCCGCAAAAGAAACTATCATCAGAGTGAACAGGCAACCTACAGAATGGGAGAAAATTTTTGCAATCTATCCATCTGACAAAGGGCTAATATCCAGAATCTACAAGGAACTTAAACAAATTTACAAGAAAAAAACAAACAAACAATCTCATCAAAAAGTGGGCAAAGGATAAGAACAGGCACTTCTCAAAAGAAGATACTTATGTGGCCAATAAGCATATGAGAAGACGCTCATCATCACTGGTCATTAGAGAAATGCAAATCAAAACCACAACAAGATACCATTTTGCACCAGTTAGAATGGCGATCATTAAAAAGTCAGGAAACAACAGATGCTGGAGAGGATATAGAGAAATAGGAATGCATTTACACTGTTGGTGGGAGTGTAAATTAGTTCAACCATTGTGGAAGACAGTGTGGTGATTCCTCAAGGATCTAGAACCAGAAATACCATTTGACCCAGCAATCCCATTACTGGGTATATACCCAAAGGACTATAAATCATTCTACTATAAAGACACATGCACACGTATGTTTATTGCAGCCCTATTCACAAGAACAAAGACTTGGAACCAATCCAAATGCCCATCAATGACAGACTGGATAAAGAAAATGTGGCACATATACACCATGGAATACTGTGCAGCCATAAAAAAGGTTGAGTTCATGTCCTTCGCAGGGACATGTATGAAGCTGGAAGCCATTGTTCTCAGCAAAATAACAGGAACAGAAAACCAAACACCGCATGTTCTCACTCATAAATGGGAGTTGAACAATGAGAACATGGACACAGGGAAGGGAACATCACACAGCAGGGCCTGTCGGTGGGTGGGGGCCTAGGGGAGGGAAAGCATTAGGAAAAATACCTAATGTAGATGATGGGTTGATGGGTGCAGCAAATCAGCATGGCACATGTATACCTATGTAACAAAACTGCACATTCTGCACATGTATCCCAGAACTTAAAGTATAATAAAATAAAAAAAAATGCAATACCAATTAAACAGGTGAGTTGGAGAAAGGAACCAATGACTAATTATATGCTAGATATAAAACTGACTAGAATTAAAAGAAAATGGAAGATATGCACTTTTAATTCTTGCAAGCATGTCATAGTATTTGAATTAGTGATTAGGCTTCCTTATTATAAAGTCCACAAATCTTGTGTGACATGTGTAGGTTTATCCAAATATTGCTTTTCTCTAACTGGTTTGTAACTTTTTTAAGTTATGAAAGTAAATAATCACGTATCACTTAAATTTTTAAAAAAAACAAATTATACTGTGATACAACTTACCAGCTACAAGACTTTGGTTATGAATCTCTCACCTAAAGATGAATGCTCCAAGTCTCAGTTTCTTTGTTAGGATTGTCCAAATGAGGGTTTTGTTTTTTTCCCGAGCTGCATTACTTACAAATTGTACCTCTCATTTACCACTTTTCATGCCTTTCCCTGCATTGGTGCTTTTCTTTTTAAAATGTGTACTTTATACACTGTTTTTTCATCAACTTTTATTTTAAGTTCTGGGGCACATATGCAGGATGTGCAGGTTTGTTACATAGGTAAACATGTGCCATGGTGGTTTGCTGCACAGATCATCCTGCCACCTGGGTATTAAGTCCAGTATCCATTAGCTATTCTTCCTGATGCTCTCCCTTCTCCCACCTCCCTAACAGGCCCCAGTGTGTGTTGTTCCCCCCAGGTGTCCATGTGCTCTCATCGTTCAGCTTCCACTTATGGAATATGCTGTGTTTGGTTTTCTGTTCCTGCATTAGTTTGCTGAGGATAATGGCTTCCAGCTCCATCCCTGTCCCTGCAATGGATATGATCTCATTCCTTTTTATGGCTGCATATTCCCTGTTCAATAAATGGTGCTGAGAGAACTGGCTAGTCATATGCAGAAAACTGAAACTGGACCCCTTCCTTTCACCTTATACAAAAATTAACTCAAGATGGATTAAAGACTTAACTGCAAAACCCAAAATGATAAAAACCCTAGAAGAAAATCTAGGCAATACCATTCAGGACATAGGCATGGACAAAGATTTCATGATAAAAGCACCAAAAGCAATTAACAACAAAAGCCAAAATTGACAAATGGGATCTAATTAATCTAAAGAGCTTCCGCACAGCAAAAGAAACTATCATCAGCGTGAACAGACAACCTACAGAATGAGAGGAAATTTTTGCAATCTACCCATCTGACAGAGGTCTAATATCCAGCATCTGTAAGAAACGTAAACAAATTTAGAAGAAAAAAAAACCCCATTAAAAAGTGGGCAAAGGACAACATGAACAGACACTTCTCAAAAGACATTCATGCAGCCAACAAGCATATGAAAAAAAAGCTCAACATCACTGATCATTAGAGAAATGCAAATCAAAACCACAATGAGATACCATCTCACACCAGTCAGAATGGCAATTATTGAAAAGTCAAGAAACAGATCCTGACCAGGTTGTGGAGAAAAAGGAATGCTTTTACAATGTTGGTGTGAATGCAAATTAGTTCAACCATTGTGGAAGACAGTGTGGCGATTCCTCAAAGATCTAGAAGCAGAAATACCATTTGACCCAGCAATCCTATTACTGGATATATACCCAAAGGAATATATATCATTCTATTATAAAGATACATGTATGTATATGTTCATTGCAGCACTATTCACAATAGCAAAGACATGGAATGAGTTCAAATGCCCATCAATGATAGACTGGATAAATAAAATGTGTATTTTATACACTTCTTAAAGACGAGTCCAGCATTGCTGCTAGAGCCGTTTACTGAGCCAAGCTACAACATTTATTCTCTTTACTTTCTTTTTTAATTTGCCATATATTCTTTTAATGAGAATTATGAAAGACCAAAACAGTTTTTGCAAAGTGCCTTTTTAAACAAATGATTTGCTTTTAATTAAGTTCTGTGCATGACAATGCCTTTACAATCAATAAACACAAGAACAAATTTTAAACGTAATTTGTCCAAGATACTTGTAAAAGGAATGATTTTCAGTATTTGTAAACATCTATTTATTCTCTAAGCTTTCAAAAATTAATCTCAAAGATATGACTCATCTGTAGAAGAGAGAAAGATGGGAAGACCATCTTATAGATGTTTTAAATAGCTTTTGGTAATTTTTCCGATGTCACCTTTACTTTCTGGAACTCCTATCTTCACAAAACAGCTGATTTTAAAATATTTCTGGCTGGGCATGGTGGCTCACACCTGTAATCCCAGTACTTTAGGAAGCCGAGGAGGGTGGACTACCTGAGATCAGGAGTTCAAGACCAGCCTGACCAATATGGTGAAACCCCGTCTTTACTAAAAATACAAAAATTAGCCAGGTGTGGTAGCGGGCGCCTGTAGTCCCAGCTACTTGGGATGCTGAGACAGGAGAATTGCTTGAACCCAGCCAGGAGGCGGAGGTTGCAGTGAGCCAAAATCTCGCCACTGCACTCCAGCCTGGGCGACAGAGTCTCTGTCCAAAAAAAAAAAAAAATTTCCAATGAACCAATTAATGGGGGAAAAGAGAACATGTATGGAACACATGTTATAAATTTTACCATAAACAATTATGCATATCAGAAGACACTAACTTTAAAACGGTACAAAACAGTGAGATGCAACCTGAATTACAGAACAGAAAGTCAAATCTATTTAATGAAAAACTAGAAGAAAAAACTAGCAAATACACACAAAAAAAACCCCACATAGTAGCACTACGTATTGACTCACAAAGCGGAAAAGCAGTGGTCCATGACCACTCAAAATGGCTTGTCAGTTAAAGGAAAAAAAAAAAAAAAAAACAGCCGAGCTCGGTGGCTCACGCCTGTAATCCTAGCACTTTGGGAGGCCGAGGTGGGCGGATCACTAGGTCAGGAGATCCAGACCATCCTGGCTAACATGGTGAGGTGATGGGTGCCTGTAGTCCCAGCTACTCGGGAGGCTGAGGCAGGAGAATGGTGTGACCCCAGAAGGCGGAGTTTGCAGTGAGCCGAGATCGCGCCACTGCACTCCAGCCTGGGCGACAGAGCTAGACTCCGTCTCAAAAAAAAAAAAAAAAAAAAAAAAAAAGAAAAAAGAAAAAAAAAAACCAAAACACACACACACATACACACACACTCACAGACCCAAAAACAAAACAAAACAAAACATTATTTTTCAACAATACAATCAATCTACAACACAAAATTCAAAATTATTTTATAATGCTTTCTTAATGCAAAATATGCTCATCTTTATATATACTAATGTTACTACACACAACTGTTTCCTGTATTCAACAGTCTTTCTTTTTATCTCTATTTGTTGAGCTTATACTTGTGAAGAGTTTCAGGTTGGCAGGCAGATGGGTGGCTTATTTTCTGTGAAATTAAACAGTTTTAAACACTGGCTAGAAAATGTTCCACTGCCATTTCAACGCTTACTAATAACTACATTGATGCTTAAATCGTCATTTTCTGCAAAAAGCAGCGCAGTGTTGGCGTCAAAGATTAAGCAGTCTCTATTCTTAATGGCTTTTGCTATGTCCTCATGAATAGGTAGAGGAGTCGCTTCCCAAGTCAGTCGTCGCCGATTACCCTTTAGCTCAAGTTGGTAAGCAAAATTTTCAGCTTCCTTGCTTGCTCCCAGCAGCTGTACGACTGCGAAGAACTGCTGGCCGCCATTGTGATCTTCCTGTTTCTGCAAGACTAACATGAAGCGAACGCCAAAACAGGACTGTATCATCACCCAATCGTAAGCGCCAACAAGATTAATGCTGGTAGCAAGGAAAATTATATCCTCTCCCTCTATTGTTGTAATGTACTCATGCATTTTAGTCAGATGAGGCATTATAGCATCCATGGTGCCTTGCCATTTACAGACAGTACCAGGGCACGGGCAGGAATAAAGCCTAAACTCACAGACTTCTTCGTGATCTGCTTTTTCTGTGTGTGGCAGAGTGATTTCACATCCCAAACAGGCATATCTACACGGGAAAAGTACAAACTTAGCCACTTTCTCCATAGCCAAGTTGCGAATCAATCCCAAGGGGCCGCGGCAAGTTGGACAAGATGTGAGCTTTGAGTGACAGCTTCTACAAACAAGATGGCCTCTCTCACACTGAAGAATTGGTGGTAACGCATAGTCTAAGCAGACCGGACACTGGAAGATACTTGCCAAGTCATTGTTGGATACAGTCCTGTCAGAACGGGCAGGCGCCTTATTGCGTGGCGACGAGGTATCTAATGCAGCAGTCTGTTCACTCATTTCTGCAGGCGGAGAGCTCTCCTCAGACCCCGGTTCCGTCACGAACGTATTCTGTCGCCAGTCACTCCAAGAATGCCACCGCGGACAGCACCACTGCCTGCCTCTTGCTGGTGATGAAACAAACGGGACACCCTGGGCCTCCTCAGTCGCACTGTAGAACGCCCCTAGCAAGGGCCGCCATGCTCCCCACCAGCCGCCATCGCCTCGTGAGTCCTCAAGCCCGCGTCCCACCGGCAGGTGTCATCTCGCGAGTCCTCAAGCCTGGCTCCCCATTGGCCGCAGTCATCTCGCGAGTCCTCAAGCCCAGCTCCTCAATGGCCACCGTCATCTCGCGAGTTCTCGAGCCCGTCTCCCCACGGGTTGCCGTCATCTTGTGAGTCCTCGAGCGTGCTGTGTATTACTTTTTTTTTGGGGGGGGGGGTTTGAGATGGGGTTTCGTTCTTGTCACCCAGGCTGGAGTGCAATGGCGACATCTTGGCTCACTGCAACCTCCGCCTCCCGGGTTCAAGTGATTGTTTACCTCAGCCTCCTGAGTGCTGGGATTACAGGCACTGCCACCATGCCCAGCTAATTCTTGTATTTTTAGTAGGGAGGGGGTTTCACCATGTTGGCCAGAATGGTCTCAATCTCTTGACTTCGTGATCCGCCCCTCTTGGCCTCCCAAAGTGCTGGGATTACAGGCGTGAGGCACTGCGCTGGGCCACTTTTTTTTTTTTTTTTTTTTTTGGTGAGATGGAGTCCCCCTCTGTGGCCCAGGCTGGAGTGCAGTGGCGCAATCTTTGCTCACTGCAACCTCCGCCTCCCGGGTTCAAGGGATTCTCCTGCTTCAGCCTCCTGAGTAGCTGGGATTACAGGCGCACGCCACCGAGCCCAGCTAATTTTTATATTTTTAGTGGAGACAGGGGGTTCACCATATTGGTCAGGCTGGTCTCGAACTCCTGACCTCGTGATCTGCTTGCCTCAGCCTCCTAAAGTACTGGGATTACAGGCGTGAGCCACCACGCCCGGCCAGTGCATTACTTTCTAATGGAAGCTATCACTATTTACAAATAAATAGCTTGAGAATTGCTTACTAAGTCCTAGAGATCAAACCAGAACTTACTGCTTTAAGTTTGTTTTTGATGCTATAATTACCAATTAAACTTTCATTTGAATGTTTATAAATGAGGGGTTCAGTATTCAGGGATTTTCTCTCAGTAGCAGATGGTTTTATGCCTGTAATCTCAGCTACTCAGGAGGCTGAGGCAGGAGAATCGCTTGAACCCAAGAGGCAGAGGTTGCAGTGAGCCAAGATCCACGCCATTGCACTGCAGCCTAGGCAACAAGAGTGAAACACCATCTAAATAATAATAATAATAATAATAATAATAATAATAATAATTTCTTCAAAATTTTGTTTTAAATGGAATGTATTATCTTGAACTTCATTTTATACAGTGGTCTTTGAAAGTTACTATATTTTTAATATTTTGGAAGATTGTCTACAGTGTATTTATTTTAAATTATTTTTCTAGAGTTTCATGTCCTCCATCTCTTCAAAAATGAAATATACACAGATATAAATTTGTATATATGCACACATAGAATGGGCATATATCTACTATAGGCAATGTAGTATAAATATGTGCATTCAAATGAGTCTGCTTTATCCCACAAAAGCCAGATGGTAAATTAAGAAAGCATTTCAGAGCACTGAGAAAAATTGTTCAGATAAATTGAATGGGAAAGAAGGGGAAAAAAAGACGACTGGGTGCCGTGGCTCATGCCTGTAATCCCAGCACTTTGGGAGGCCAAGGCCGGTGGATTACGAGGTCAGGAGTTCAAGACCAACCTGGACAACATGGTGAAACCCCATCTCTACTAAAAATACAGGCACGTGGTGGCACATGCCTGTAATCCCAGCTACTCAGGAGGCTGAGGCAGGAGAATCACTTGAACTCGGGAAGCGGAGGTTGCAATGAGCCGAGATCACGCCATTGCACTCTAGCCTGGGTGATAGAGACTCTGTCTCAAAAAAAAAAAAAAACTAAAGACTGTTAATGAAAAATTGTGCTACAACAGTAATTAATGCATTTTTTACTGTTATTTATTGCATAAAAAAATCTCAAAAAAACTTGGAAAGGAAGAAAAAGTAATTTAATCTTAAAGCACATTGTTACTACTATTGTTTATAATTCTTTTTTAACATTTGTTGATTGTTTATAAATGGCCATAACATTTAAATACATTGATGAAATAATCTCACTTCTTGGAATTTATCTTAAGAAAATATTTCTTTTTTTTTTGAGACAGAGTTTTGCTCTTGTTGCCCAGGCTGGAGTGCAATGGTGCAATCTTGGGTCACTGCAAGGTCACTGCCTTCTCAGTTCAAGCGATTCTCCTGCCTCAGCCTCCCAAGTAGCTGGGATTACAGGCACCTGCAACTATGCCCAGCTAATTTTTATATTTTTTTAAGTACAGATGGGGTTTCACCATGTTGGCCAGGCTGGACTAGAGCTCCTGACGTCAGGTAATCCACCCACCTTGGCCTCCCAAAGTGCTAGGATTACAGGCGTGAGTCACTGTGCCTGGCCAAGAAAATATTTCAAACGTAAGCAATATAGATGAAGAAAGTTTTGTTGTTGGTACTGTTATGGTCCAGACCTTGCCTCATCATATTTTTGGTATCTGAAAAAGCTATTTTCTAAAAATTTATATTATAATTGGAAAAATTTTAAACTTACAGATATATGATTTCTACTCACTTTCAATTTATCCTTTTGGATATCCTAGATTGAAATAATATCTGCTTGAAATGACAGACATTTCCTTTTCTTTTTATAACTAACTCATTAAGGTATAGATGATATACAAAATACAGCACATATTTAATTATACAATTCTGTGAGTTTGAACATAGGCATGCACCTGTGAAACCATCATCACAATCAAGGTAATAAACATATTCATCACTCCCAAAAGCTTCTTTGTGCTCATTTGTGTTTTGTTAGTTTTTGTGGTAAGAAAACATTGTAAGATCTACTCTTAAATGTTTTAAATGCACAATACAATATTAACCATAGGCACAATGTTGTACAATGCTGGTTCTGTCCTGCAGATGCTGGCTGAGTGACAGATGAAAGGAGTACTTAGACACAGGTATGCAGTGTAAGAGCAGCTAGGGGACTGCCCGGCACTAAGGGCCAAAGAAAGAGCAGTCTCGATAAGCTGGAGCTGCTTGATTTTATTCAGTACAGACATAATGCCAAAAGCCTGGAGCCAACACGATCTGTGGGTAATTAATATTATTGTTCCCCCATTCAGGGAGCAGTCTTGTGCGCTGATGATCAAAGGTCGGTTTCCAGACAAGGTAAGTAAACAAGCCTATTTAAGATAAATTCCCCTACACTTCCTTGTACCTACTCCTTGCCCTCTGCCTCAGTTTCAGAGAACAGCTGCCTTCAGCTTATTCTCCCTTGAAGCTATGCAGAGCCTTCTGACCTTTCAGAAGGCCTGCTCCTTTCCCTATAGCTTCTCCCACCACTCTCACCCATCTCCTACAGTATAATATTAAATAGATCCCTAGAACTTATTCATCTGGCATAATTGAAACTTTGTACCCACTGAACAGCAACTTCCCTGTTCCAAGGTGAGCAGGTATATGCAGATCTACCCCCAACAGCCAAGGGAGATGAGAGGTCCAAGAAAGAGGCTGACAAATCCAGTTTCTCAGAAAGAAATGTTTAATAGGGACTTAAGAACAGAAGTGTTGCCTTGGATGGCTGCAACACAGTGAATCCCAGCACCTACTCTCCAGAAAGTATCTTTTATACAGCAAGCTTTTAGGGTAAAGACACGTGCAGCTGATCACATCCCAGACTTTCTTGCGAAAACTGATGACAACTAAGGAAGTTAGATAAGCATCTTTATGAGATGTTATCTATGCCACAGGCATTGTCTAAAGAACTTGCTGCAAAACACCTTGGTATGCCAGAGTCAAACAAGGGTCATCATGGTGGTTTCACTTCAATATGGCATTACACTTGCCATGCCACAGGCTATTTCTTTTACATCCTCATTTCCCCCTCCCCACAACCCCTGGCAATCACTAGTCTATTCTTTGCTTCTATGAGTTTAATTTTTTAAGATTCCACTTATAAGTGAGATCATGCAGTACTTGTGTTTTTGTGTCTGGTTTATTTCATTTAGCATAATGTCCTCTAGGTTTCATGTTATCACATATGGGAGAATTTTCGTCTTTTTGAAGGTTAAATAATATTCCATATATATATGTATATCACGGAATATTATTTAACCTTCAAATATATATGTATTCAAAAAATACATATGTATAATACCATATATTCTTTATCCACTTATCCCTTGATAGACATTTAGGTTGTTTCCATATCTTGGCTATGGTGAATAAATTTCACCATAGCCAGGATATGGTGTGTGTGTGTGTATATTTAAAATTGAATAATATTCTATGATATACATATATATGCCATATATAGTATATAAAATATTCCATTATACATGGCATATATATGCTATACATAATATTCCATGATATAAATATGCCATATATATCATGGAATATTATTCAACCTCCAAATACATATATATTTTAATGTATATATATATATATACACACACATATATATATATACACACACACCATATATTCTTTATCCATTTATCCCTTGATAGACATTTAGTTTGTTTCCATATCTTGGCTATGGTTAATAAATTTGCAATGGATGTGAGAGTACACACATGTCTTTAAGATCCTAATTTCAAATTTTTGAAAATATACATAAAGGTGGGATTGATGCATCATATAGTACTTTTGTTTTTAATATTTTTTGGGAAATCTCTATACTGTTTTCCATAACAATTGCACCACTTTACATTTCCACCAACAGTGTACAACGGTTCTAATACCTCCACATCCTCACCAACATTTATCATATTTTTTACAAAAATAGTTTATTTTTTAATAGCCATCTTAACACATGTGAGGGGATATTTCATTGTGGTTTTTATTTGCATTTTCCTGATGATTAGTGATGTTGAGCATCTTAACATATATCTTTTGACTATTTGTATGTCTTCTATAGAAAAAATGTCTATTCAGGTCCTTTGCCCATTTTTTAATTGGGTTTTGTTTTTATTGTTTTCTACTCAGTTGTATAAGTTTCTCATATATCAGATATGTGGTTTACAAGTATTTTCTCCAATCTCTAGGCTGCCTTTTTATTCTCTTGATATTTTCCTTTGCTGTGCAAGTGCTTTTTAGTTTGATATAGTCCCACTTGTCTATTTATGCTTTTGTTGTCTGTACTTTTGCTGTCATATCCAGAAAACCATTGCCAAAAATAATCTCAAAAACTTTTATATTAAGTTTTCTGCTGGGAGTTTTATAGTTTTAGGTTTTAGGTTTAAGTTTTTAATCTACTTCAAGTTGATTTTATTTGTGTATCGTATAAATAAGGGTCTAATTTCATTCTTTTGCATGTGAATTTCCAGTTTTCCCAAGATCATTTGTTGAGGAGACTATCTTTTTCATATTTTATATTCTTGGCACCCCTGTCAAAGATCACTTGACCACATCTGTATAGGTTTATTTCTGGGTTCTCTATGCTGTTTCATTGGAATCTGTATCTGTTTTTATGCCAATAACATGCTACTTCCATTACTATAGCTCTGTTACATACTTTGAAACCAGGAACAAAGCTTCCAGCTTTGATCTTCTTCTTCAAGATTACTTTGGCTATTTGAGGTATTTTGGGTCTATATAAATTTTAATTTAATGTCACTACAAATTTTAAGATTTTTTTACTACATCTTTAAAATTTTATCTTGGGATTTTGATAGTTTTGCATTGAATCTGTGAATTTCCTTGGGAAGTATGGACATTTTAAAAATATTGAGTCTTCCAACTATGACCATGGGAAATCTCTTCATTATTTCATTAATTTATTTTCATAATTTTACTAATTTTTCTGTCAATGTTTTACAGTTTTCAGCAAACAAGACCAGGATGCCCACACCTCTGATTCTATTCAGCATAGAACTGAAAGTCCTAGCCAGAGCAATTAGTCAATAAAAAGAAATAAAAGCCATCCAAATTCCAAAAGGAAAAAGTAAAATTGTCTCTGTTTGCAGATGACATGATTCTATGTTTAAAAAACCATAAATATTCCACAAAATACTACAACTAATAAACACATTTATTAAAGTTTCAGGATAAAAAACTAATATAAAAAAATCAGTTGCCGGGTGCGGTGGGTCAAGCCTGTAATCCCAGCACTTTGGGAGGCCGAGGCAGGCGGATCACAAGGTCAGGAGATCAAGACCATCCTGGCTAACATGGTGAAACTCCGTCTCTACTAAAAATACAATAAATTAGCTGGGCGTGATGGCGGGCGCCTGTAGTCCCAGCTACGCGGGAGGCTGAGGCAGGAGAATGGCGTGAACCTGGGAGGCGGAGCTTGCAGCAAGCCGAGATTGTGCCACTGCACTCCAGCCTGGGCGACAGAGCAAGACTCCGTCTCAAAAAAAAAAAAAAAAAAAAAAAAATCAGTTGTGTTTCTATACAATAACAACAAACTACCTGAAAAGGAAATTTAGAAAGCAATCTTATTTGCAATAGCATCAGAAGGAATAAAATATTTAAGATTAAATTTAACCAAGGAGATGAAATATTTGAGCAATACTCGTTTTCTAAAGTGTCTTCTTGCTGTCTCTTTTCCTGGTTTTAACCATTGGAAATGAACATATAGAGCAAAGTTTTTAAATGGTAGTCAAAGCAGGTTCCATTGCTGGCTTTACTGGGAACCCCTTTTGCATTTACCATTACATTAGTTGTTTTCTACTGTCCTATTATGGATAATTTCTATCTTATAGAAGTACATTTTTATTCCTTATTTAATAAGATTATTTATAAATCAGAATTTTATTTTGAATTTTGCAAGAATGCTTTTTCACAATCTATCTACAAATTGCTTCTGTATATCTTTTAATGCTTGTGTTTCTCACATCTTGAAACCTATTAATCTTACATTAGTTCCAAAAATCTTACATAAGTTCCAAAAACTTAATCATTCTTGTATTTCAGTCCAATCTTACTTGATCACTGGGTATCATCCCCTTTTAAAAATATCTGTCAAGATTGTAAAATAGGCCAGGTGCGGTCGCTCGCACCTGTAATCCCAGTACTTTGGGAGGCCGCGGCGGGCAGATCACCTGAGATCAGGAGTTCGAGACCAGCCTGACCAACGTGGAGAAACCCCATCTCTACTAAAAATACAAAATTAGCCGGATGTAGTGGCACATGCCTGTAATCCCCGCTACTCAGGAGGCTGAGGCAGGAGAATCGCTTGAACTCAGGAGGCGGAGGTTGCAGTGAGCCGAGATCACGCCATTGCACTCCGCCTCAACAACAAAATGTAAAATAATTTATACTAATTATAGAAAGTAAAACAGAGTAGAGAGTTGTGAAGTGAAAAGTTAAAGGTTTGCATATTTCAACAACTATAATTTCAGAGATAACTATTACTAAAATTTATTTTTTTGTTTTTAAATTGACACGTTATAGTTGTACATATTTATGGGGTAATAATTTTATTGTTTCCTACATATATATGTTGTATAATGATCAAAATCAGGGTATTTGGCATATCCGTTACCTCATGTACCTATTTATTTGTAATGAAAACATTCAAAAGCCTCTCTTCTAACCATTTTGTAATATAGGATACCTTACTGTTATCCCTGTCATACTGTGCAGTAGAACAAACTTATTTCTTCTCTCTAATTATAACTTTGACCCATTGATCAACCTCTCCTTCCCATCCTCCCTGCCCTTCTTCTCTTCTCCCCAGTCTCTGGTAACCACTGTTCTACTCTGTATGCTTCTATGATAGTAACTTGTAATATAGTTTATCTTTTCACAGTTTGAATGTTTTTCTGAGATCTCCCAAACTCCTACACAATTTTTTTTAAAATTAAAAACGTTAAGTTTCACTGCTTGGTGAAAAGTTCTAAAAGTTTTGCAAATGCGTAATATCTTGTACCTACTATTACATTATTTGTGGAAAAGTTTCATCACCCTCAAATTCCTTGTGTTTCACAGGACCTTGCAGTTCAAGTCTACCAGTGATTAATTCCCTTAGTATTTCTTTGTCTAGTAAGTCTTCATTTCCCTTTTCTTTTGAAAAACACATTTTGCTGGATGTAGAATTCTACCTTAGTGTTCTTTTTTTTTCTTTCAACATTTTAAATATTTTGTTCCTTTCTCCTCTTGCTTTTATGGTTTCTGACGAGAAGAATTCCAATGTAAATATTATCCTTGTTCTTCTATAAGAAAGGTGGGTTTTTTTTTCCTATGACTTCTTTCAAGATTTTATCTCCATTTTTGATATAATAGCCTAGTGAAAATTTTTTTTTGCTATTCTTCTTGGTGTTCTTCAGGGTGTTCTCTGAGATTTCTGAATTTGATTTGGTGTCTGCCATTAATTTGGAAAATTCTCAACCATTATTAGTTCAAGTAGTTCTTCTATTCCTTTCCCTCTTGTTTCTTCTCTAGGATTCTCATTATACATATTTTATATCTTTTATAACTATCCCTCAATTCTTGCATATTCCGTTCCTTTTTCAAATTTCTTTTACTCTTGACATTTCAGTTTGGGAAGTTTCTATTGATAGGTCTTTAATTTCACAATTTTTTACTCTTGATATTTCACTTTGGGAAGTTTCTATTGATGTCTTTAATTTCACAATTTCTGTCCTCAGATATGTCTATTATACTAATGAGCCCATCAAAGACATTCTTTATTTCTGTCACACCGTTTCAGTTTTCTAGCATTTTCTTGTGATTGTTTCATAGAATTTTACTGTATTTGCTTATATTACCCATCTGTTTTTTCATTGTTTATTTCAACATCAGAGCCTATAACGTGAATTAGACTTATTTTAAACTCACAGTATGATAATTACAAAATCTACACCATATCTGCATCTGGTTCTGATGCTTGATTTGTCCTTTCAGATTGTATTTTTCTTCCTTTTAGCATGCATTATAATTTTTTTCCCTAAAGTTGGATATGATGTATTGGGTAATAGGGGCCAAATTTCAAAAGTGGTTCTTATCCTTTTATTTTCTCTTCTTAGAGGAGACAGAAAAGCTTTTGGGTGCTGGAGTTGGCTAATGGATGCCTTTACCCAGTTATAAGGCTCTAATGAAGTAGCTTTCTTTGGCTAGTAGGCTTTTATTATGGAGAATGCCCTGGGAGTATTTCAATGTTATTACTTTGCCTCTCCCTGTCCAAAAGTATCAGAGGATTTTTACTGTCTTAATCTTCAGAAAGTGGTGAGGTTATTAGAGGTAAAGCCCATGAAAGTGCTGCAGCACCCCTAAAACTGTAGTTTCTTACTTTCAAGCTAATCCACATTTAGCCTCTAGCAATTTCTCGAAATTTCCATTTAAGTTTTGACTAGTTTATGGCTCCAGAGGCTTCTTCTCCAAGTAAGTTTATCTAGGTTGTGCTCCTCTGTGTTTGTCTTTTTTTCCAGATTCCAGAGTAGCAATTTGCCCTGTGACCTGAATTCTCCTACGTGTCTAAAAAAGCCTTCGATTTTCAGTTTGTCAAGCTTTCTTCTTGTTTTTAGGATGGAAGTGATGACTACCTAGTTTTTTCTAATATGTCCAAGCTGAAACCAGATGTTCATTATTCACTTCTAAATGAAACAGACACTTTATAGAGCAATCCACATACCTGCGAATAATGCATATGCAAATCTGTGTTCCATATATGTGTAAAAATTATATTTTCTTATCTCATGGTTAATTTAATGTAATGTACTTTCTGGATCTCTTTTAGTAAAATCTAACAGTTTATAATACTTCAAACTAAAAGCTGCCTAGAGTTCCATAAGAAAAGTGAAAAGCTTTACATATGTTTTATCAGTTACTCTATAAAAATTTCTGGCTAATAGGCAATAAAATACTAGTGAGTGTCATTACAATTTTAACATTTTAATATGGTTTTCTTCAATACGGGAGTTATTAACAATCTAACCCACAGGCCAAAACAACTGTTACTATTTTCCTTTTTTATATTATAAAAACTTTTTATGAATGTTGTTAAACATCATATATTTTTATTAGAATGTCAAAGAAAACTGAGATGATGGAGAATGGGAAAAGCTATGACAACTTTCCTCAAGAATGAGTGAATGAGTTCGTCTTTTATGGGTGGGTAGTAGGGACATAAGAAGGCATCAAAGAAGGATGATACAATGGGAGCAAAGATTTAGAAACAAAGTCACATACCCTAGAGAAGTTTTGTCCTTTCCTTTCTGAGTTTGATATGGCAATAAGATATTTACATGTTAATATCCAGTTGTTGACTGAATCTCTGAAGCTGAGACTAGATAGGGAAAAAAGTGGTTTAAGTTGTACATGTTTAGTAGTTTTCCAGCTAAGTCTGAACTGATGCAGGTCAAGCCAAGGGCTAGGTAACTTTCGTAGATTGATTATAGTGATAGTTTAAACTTCATCATTGCCTTTATTTTCCTTTGTTATTATAGGAATAAAGGAGAAAAATAAACATATTTAGAAGGGTTTTAAAAGATCAAATTACAGTGTCATGTGAATGAATAAACACAGACTAATAAAAAACACTAAACTGCACAACAAGTTGAACGACAGATTTTGAGTTTAAACAATGCATCTAGTATCATTGCAGACATTTTCAATTTCTCAGACAGCCCTCCCCAAATCCCTACATTCAAACAGCATTAACCATTCCATCACATATAATCTGTACATCCTTTGCCTCAGCAATACATTTTCTTTTTTTTTTCTTTTTTCTTTTTTTTTGAGACAGAGTTTTGCTCTTGTTGCCCAGGCTGGAGTGCAATGGTGCAATCTTGGGTCACTGCAACCTCTACCTCCCGGGTTCAAGCGATTCTCCTGCCTCAGCCTCCCAAGTAGCTGGGCTACAGGCACACGCCACCACGCCCAGCTAATTTTTGTATTTTTAGTAGAGATGGGGTTTCACCATGTTAGCCAAGATGGTCTCCATCTCTTGACCTCGTGATCTGCCCGCCTCGGCCTCCCAAAGTGCTGGGATTACAAGCGTGAGCTACCGCGCCTGGCCAGCAATACATTTTCTTAAAAATTGCTCTACTGTGTATTGCTTTTTCTATTGAAATAAGAAGTTTAGAGTTGAAGCAAAATATTAGGACAATTTGTGAGATGTTATCATTGAATTCTTGCAAAAAGTGTGTTGAACAGTAGTAATCTTCCTGGCCCTGTTGTATCTCTAGACATAGTGACAGATTCTCATTCCCCTTACTTCCACTTCAAGTTATCTAGACTTCATGATGATTTTGTTATATATGTTTTTGCTGCTATAATATTTTTTTCTCAACATGTCAGTGTACTTTCATAAGTTGTTATATTTAATTTGTCTTTTACCAGTGACTGGAAGAGAGCAACCTAATGTCAACATGATCTCAAATCGCATGTCTATAATGTATTTCTGCATATGTCCTTGTTGTTACAGAAGATAATCACAGAAAAAAAATGTATTGAAAGGAAAACTGAGAGCCAGAAATAAGAGCTTCCAGTTAATGAGGAAGAGTGACTAGACTTCAAGTAGTTGACTTTAACCAGAAGAAGTAAGCTTGTAAAAGGGGAATGAGATGTAATCTTTAACATTTTAAAAATATTTTAATTAAAAACAACATGTTCTCAGTATAATCAATTAAACAATGTAAAGATGCATAAATACAATAGTAACTATCTTTTTCCTCTTTTACCTGTTAACACCACAGAAACTAATGTGAACATTCTGACATCCAGTTTTCTTTACTTATATTTATGAACATCTAGGCAAACATAAATACATCTCCATATTGCTTTTTTCAGTTCAGATAACTTTTTTGACATATCTACGGGTGGTATACACAAAGAAACGTATTTAAAAATAAGTAAATGTCATACGTATGCACAAAAGGTAACTATGCGAGGTGATGTATACATTAATTACCTTGATTGTGGTAATCATTTCACAATGTACACATATATCAAAACCACATTGTACACCTAAAATACATATAATTTTTATTTGTCAATCATTCTTTAACAAAGCTGGAAAAGTAATTAAATAAGTAGATGCCTATATGGGTACATAGGATACTCTTTATAATAGCTGCATAATATTCCATAACATGAATGTGCTATATTTCGTTCATTCAGCCCTTGTCCCTGCCTTTTTGGTTTTGTTTCTTCCAACTAATTGCAAAAAAGCACGGTTATATAATGATGCTTTTATTTATAATAAAAATATATTGCCAAATGTATTATTTCCGGGTACAAAAAGTACCTATGTCTTTAGTTTTTTTATTATTATTACTTTTAAGTCAATATTAACAGATTACTTTCCAAAAAGATTGTAGCACTCCTACTCTAAAATACATGAGATTGCCCGATTACCCATATCCTTGGAGCTGGAGTTTTTGAAGGAAAAAAGCAGCAAAAATTATTTGGAAGCCTCAATACTAAATATGTACCTTCATCATTTCATGACCCTGCAGTACATGCAATGGTAAAAGTGAGAGAGAGAAAGAGAGAGAAAAAGTTTTCCATCGAGGAGGCTGAAAGGGAAGTAGTAAACTGATTTGATGGTCAGTTTCTGTTAAAGCCAAGATATTACTAAGACCGGACACTTCTAATCATACATGAAAGACAATTTGATAACTTGTGCTGCACTTCTGGGCATTTCTGAGACAATAAATTTTGTTGAGGAATAAAAATTAATAGTAAATGTGATAATAATAACCACATGCTTACTATTTGTCAAGCACTATGCATATATTATTGCCAATCTTCAACACCCTTGAAAGTCAAGTGTTGTGTTTTTCGTTTTAATTTATCTGTGTAACAAAATTTTTTTTAAAGCCTCTATGAAAACATGTCTTTTATTTGTTGTATTTCGACAATTTATACTTGAAGTAATTATTTATATATGTATATATTTCTCTACTTATATTACCCTTATGCTTTTGAATGTTATCCAGTTTTTTTCCTGTTAGAGCCCTTAGCATATTAATCATACTTATTTAAAATTCCTAGTCTGATCATTCCAATAGTGATACCATGTCTGAGGCATGTTAGGATGCTTGGCTTGTCTCTTCAGACTATGTTTCTTGCCTTTTAGCATGGTTTTAATTTTTTTGTTGTTGTTATTGAAAGCCAGACACAATGTAGCATATGAAAGGAAATGAGATAATAGAACTTTAATTTGAGGTTTTATGTTTATCTTGATGGGATTTAAATTATATTTACTGTTTGCCATAATTGTGGTCTCAGAAGCTAAAATGCCTTCTAGTGTCCTTGTTTTTACCTCCCTGTTGCCATTGGGTTTCCCTAGAAACTCCTTATTAAATAAAACTTGAGGTGGGCAGTTCTTTGAACTGCAATGTACTCTTATTATTTAGGAAATCTATCAACGGAGTAGTAAATCATGGAAGAGAGTGAGAATTAATTCTATAATCTTATGATTAGGTCTCAGTCTTTTAGTGAGCCTCCGTCCCTGGGCTATAACCTTTACAAGTGAGTTATAGGCTTTAGAAGGCCATGCTATAGCAGGCGAGTGATAACAGGCTTTAATCCTTTTAAAGCATGCTGTGGGATGGGATATTGGCATTGAGTGGGGTAAGGGTGATGGGTGATTAGGTTTTAATGGGATGATAAGGGGTGCATGATCAGTCTCCAAAGAGGGAGTAGAGGTGTCCCACACTTGTGGATTAAGGTGAGGAGATACAAGGGGAGGATGCGAAGGAGGCTTTGAACTGGGGAAAAGGGTAGCAATAAGGTGTGGCTGTAGCCCAGGAATAGTCAGGGAAGCAGATAATTTGGTTAAAGTGTCTTGACCTAATAAGGGAGCTGGGCAGGTGGGGATAACTAAAAAAGAGTGCATAAAAGGATGTTGTCCAAGTTGGCACCAGAGTTGGGGAGTCGTAAGAGGTTTAGAAGCCTGGCCGTCAATACCCACAACAGTTACAGAGGTAAGGGAAACAGGCCCTTGAAAAGAAGGTAATGTGGAGTGGGTAGCCTCTGTATTGATTAAGAAGGGGACAGACTCACCCTCCACTGTAAGAGTTACCTGAAGCTTGGCATCTGTGATGGTCCAGGGGGCTTCCGAGGCAATAGGGCAGTGTCATTCTTCAGCTGCTAAGCCAAGGAGATCTGGGAAGGAGTCGGCCAAGGAATGTTGGGTTTGGGCTCCAGGAGCTTTAGGAGCGATGGTGATGTGAGTCAGACAGTCAGACCTCCAGTGGGGGCCTGCACAGACAGGGCATGGCTTAGGGGGAATCCCGGGCTGTGGGCATTCTGAGGCCCAGTGGCCAGGCTTTTGGCATTTGAAGCAAGGTCCACGAGGATATTTTGATGGAGCCCCTGGGAGCTGTGGCTTGGATGTTCTGAAGTTTTTGTATGCTGGAGACGTGGTTGTGGGTTGTCTTACAGCAGAGGCAAGTAGCTGTAACTCAGAAATGTGTTGCTGTCTGGCTACCTCCTCTCTATTACTGTACACCTTGAAGGCGAGGTTGATTAATTCCTGTTGTGGGGTTTGAGGGCTGGATTCCAATTTTTGAAGCTTTTTTCTAATGTCAGGAGCTGACTGGGTGATAAAATGCATATTAAGAATAAGGCGGCCTTCTGGCCCCTGTGGGTCTAGAATGGTAAAGTGTCTAAGGGTTGCTGCTAAGCGAGCCATGAACTGGGCTGGGTTTTCGTCTTTACCTTGGGTAGTTTCTGTAAGTTTGTCATAATTAACAGCTTCGTAAGCTGCCTTTTTAAGCCCTTCAACTAGGCAGGAAACCATGTAATCTCGCCTAGCTATACCTGGGGAATCTGCCTGATAGTTCCATTGGGGTTCTTCTCGGGGAACTGCTCTAATGCCTTCCTGGAGGTCTGGCTCATGAAGCTGGCAGTTATCAGCATGAGATTGGGCTAGAGAAAAAACTCTTTCCCGTTCATCTGGGAAGAGGATAGAAGTTAGGATGACATTTAAGTCATTCCAGGTTAAATTATAGGACAGAGTTAGATATCGGAATTCCTGTATATATTTAGTGGGGTCTGATGAGAAAAAGCCTAAACGCTGGCTGATTTGGGAAAAGTCTGATAGAGAAAAAGGCACATGTACCCTGACTATGCCTTCAGCTCCAGCCACCTCTGTAAGAGGAAATTGTTGGGCAGGTTGGGGAGAGCTAGTCACAGAACGAAACTATAAACCAGACCGGGTGTGGGGAGGGGAGGTAATAGAAGGGTTATAGTGTGGGGAAGCAGAGGCTGAAGAAGAGTTGGAGCCTGATTCAGCCTGGCGGGGAGCAACCTGAGGAGGAGCAGTCTGGGAAGGAGGTGAGAGGTCAGATGGGTCAGTAGAAAAGGAAGATTCACAAGACTCAGTGATGTTTGGGGTTGGGACTGAAGGGACAGGTGAGAGGGAAAGGAGGAGGATTTGGGATGAGTTGCATTGGGAACAGAGACTAGGGAGGGAACGAAGTGTGAAAAATGCCTGGATGTAAGGCACCTCAGACCATTTGCCCATTTTTCGACAAAAATTATCTATGTCTCATAGGATGGAGAAATCAAAAGTGCCATTTTCTGGCCATTTGGAACCATTGTCGAGTTTGTATTAGGGCCAAGCAGCATTGCAGAAGAAAATAAGACGCTTAGATTTTAGGTCAGGTGAGAGTTGAAGAGGTTTTAAGTTCTCGAGAACACAGGCTAAGGGAGAAGAAGGAGGAATGGAGGGTGAAGGAGGCAAGTTTAAAGAGAAGGGTAGAGACACAGAGAAGTGGGGTAGGGAGCAGCCCTGGGCTGCAATGTGGGTGAGCAGCCAAAGCAGGCATCCCCTCAGTTGACTTGCCACCAAGGGAACGTGGGTGAATGACCAAGGCAGGTGATCAGACACCAATGGAGTGTGGGTGAATAATCAGGCAGGTGTCCCTGCAGTGATTAAACACCAAGGGAAGACTGGCTTCCCAAGTCCATGACCGGCACTGGAGTTTTGGGTCTGCGGATAAAATGTGTCTCCTTTGTCTCTACTAGAGAGGAAAAAGAACTGGAATTGGAAGGACAGAGAGATTGAAGGGTAGCGAGAGAGGCTGGCAAAGAGAGTGAAAAGACTGCTTACCTGATTTGAAATTGGTGAGATGTTGCTTGGGCTGGTTGGTCTGAGGACCCGAGGTCGTAAGTGGATCTCTTCATGGAGTGAGGGTGAGGACAGGGGACTGGTCTCCCGAAGGAGTCCCTCTGACCTGGGCCTTCAGCACTAAATGTTTCACGCATCCAGGCTTTGTGTGAACAACAAGGCTGTTTATTTCACCTGGGTGCAGGTGGGCTGAGTCTGAAAAAGGAGTCAGCCAAGGGTGGTGGGATTATCATTAGTTCTTACAGGTTTTGGGATAGGCGGTGGAGTTAGGAGCGATGTTTTGTGGGCAGGGGGTGGATCTCACAAAGTACATTCTCAAGGGTGGGGAGAATGACAAAGAACCTTCTTAAGGGTGGGGGAGATTACAAAGTACATTGATCAGTTAGGGTGGGGCAGAAACAAATCACAATGGTGGAATGTCATCAGTTAAGGCTATTTTCACTTCTTTTGTGGATCTTCAGTAGCTTCAGGCCATCTGGATGTATACGTGCAGGTCACAGGGGATACAAGTTGTATTTATCTTGTTATTGATTTTCAGATTTATTTCATTGTGTTCAGAGAAGATAGTTGATATAATTTCAACTTTTTGGAATTTTTAATAATTTATTTTGTGGCCTAGAATCCAGTCTATCCTTGAGAATAATCCACGTGCTGTGGAGAATAATGTGTATTCTACAGCCACTGGGTGAAATGTTCTGTAAATATCTATTACTTCCATTTAGTCTACAGTACAGATTAAGTCTGTTGTTTCTCTGTTGAATTACTGACTGGATAATCAGTCCATTGCTGAAGTGGGATGTTGAAGTTTTCAGCTTAAAGAACATTTCAAAGTGTTCCATAAATGAAAGAAGTATGAAATATAGACATCTAATTTGGATGTATATGAAAGCTACCTTCTGTTGTTATCTTTATTAAATATCTTTATTGAAGAACTTAAAAAACTTTAGATTATTTTATTAACTATAGTTTTCATGTTGTACATTAGATCTTCAGGCTTGTTCATCCTATATATCTATGAATTTGTATCCTTTGACATAAACCTCCACCACTCCTGGTATCCATTTGTATCCATTCCCCACCTCCCACTCCTGGTAACCATCCTTTTATTCTCTTTATCTTCTCTTGTCGTTTACTACAACATGGATGAACTTGGACGACATTATTCTAAGTGAAATAAGCCAGAAACAGAAAGAAAAATACTACATAATGTCACTTATATGTGGAATTTAAAAAAGAACAGTTAAAACTAAAATAATTAACTGTAGCATGTTACAAAAATGCATGATAAAAAGCAATAGAAATTATTATAACATCAAAAAGCAAGTTATGGCTAGGCATGGTGGCTCACACCTGAAATACCAGCACTTTGGAAGACTTAGGTAGGAGGATCACTTGAGGCTAGGAGTTCGAGACCAGCCTAGACAACACAGAACATTCCTCTACAAAGCTAAAAAAAAAACAAGTTGTATTTTTTTTGAAAATAACTAAAACAGTAATTCATGAAGAAGAGATGCATTTTGAATAGATCTATTAAATAATCCTTTGTATCAATGTATAATACAATTAATAAAGATGAATGAATCATATAAATACACTGCAATTTTTTAAATTTCTAGCTGTTTTGACAGGAAATAGTGTTATTAATGAAAGAGCTCAAAACTCATAATACGGCACTTCAATGAAGACATCAAAAAACTGTGTTATGCCAAATATTATTTAAGATTAGAAACTGCATAAGAAAATTGTAAGTGCCCTGACATTTTACAACTCACCTATAAAATAACTTTAAAAGAGGCATCACAAACTTGACAGTCTTTTTAAGAATGTGTATGATATGAATAAGTTATAAAGCTGAAATATACGTATATTTAAAAATTCAATCAGCTATGCATGTAAAATGATACCATTATCTATAGAAAATAATACTTCCTATAGAAAATGATGATACAAAAATCATTGTCACATGAAGAGGGAATAAAAGATGATATAGACAAGAAATATAGGGGCTAAATGCATTTCAGAAATGTGTCAGTCAATTAAGTTATTCTTTTTCTGAATTTCGTGGTGCTTGTGATATTTATTAGCTTTCAAAATTTATAATTTGTTTTGATCTCTTTTCCTATGCTAAATAAATATTCCCTTTCATACTTTTGTTTTTTAGTTTTAATTTTATATTCTCCTCTGTTAAAGAGGCTGTGCAAATCAAACAAGCTTCAAGCACTACAGAACCTGGATTTATCCCTGGATGCACTTGCTGCCAAGTTTGAAAATAATCTTATCTTTGTTACAACAACCACTGCATAGTTAATCCTCTTAAGAAGAATTGTCAGTTTTTTCGATACAGCCTATGCTTTTTCATCTGGTGGCCATTCATCACCGCTGCTGGGAGAAGGATGAATCTAGGCTGAAAGTGATAAAAGATGGTGTGGTTAGGTCTCTGATTCAGGTAAATGACTTGTGAATAATGTAAATATCCTGTAGAAAAGCTCGAAAATATTGCACTTGGTTTTATTTTTTCTTTTCATTTGCTTTATATGTTTCTAGTAGTATTAAATAACAATTTGTAGATTTTAGAGCTGTGTATGTTTTTATTTTATTTATTTACTTATTTTTGAGACAAGGCCTCCCTCTTGTCACCCAAGCTGGAGTGCAGTGGTGAGATCCTGGCTCACTGCAAACTCTGCCTCCCTGGCTCAAGTGATCCTCCTGCCTCAACCTCCCAAGTAGCTGGGACTAGAGGTGTGAGCCACCATGCCCAGGTAAGTTTTGCATTTTTTGTAGAGACGGGGTTTTGCCATGTTGCCCAGGCTGTTCTCGAACTCCTGAGCTCAAGCAGTCTGCCCACCTCAGCCTCTCAAAGTGCTGGGATTACAGGCATGAGCCACCATGCCCAGCCTATTTTTTATAACCAACAAGAATGTACAGTGTTCTTATCACTACAGTGACAAAAATGGAGTAGTGTTTTTATTAATAGGGGATAGAATGATCCAAAATCTGATTCTGCCTCTTACTTGGGTGGGGAATTTTAAAGATATTTTATAAATGACTTCAGTATGGGTCTCTGGCCCATGATAGCCACTGATTTTTATAATATATAATAAATTCTGGGTGTTATTATTATTAAAGATCCTATGCATTAAAGAAGATAATTACTTTTCTTCTTTTTTTAAAAAAGTACCAGTTTATTTATTTATTTATTTTTGAGATGGGTCTCGCTCTGTCGCCCAGGCTGGAGTGCAGTGGCGCCATCTCGGCTCACTGCAACCTCCGCCTCCCGGGTTCAAGCGATTCTCCTGCCTCAGCCTCTAAAGTAGCTGGGACTACAGGTGCCTGCCACCATGCCTGGCTAATTTTTTTGTATTTTTAGTAGAGATGGGGTTTCACCGTGTTAGCCAGGATGGTTTTGATCTCCTGACCTCGTGATCTGCCCACCTTGGCCTCCCAAAGTGCTGGGATTACAGGCGTGAGCCACCACACCCAGCCTACCAGTTTATTCTAAAGGATATTATAAAGGATACGGATAAAGATAAACATAGAGAGAGGTATCGAAAAAGGGGTGTGGAACTTCCCCGCCATCCCTTGGCGTGCCACTCTCCAGGAACCTCCACATGTTCAGCCATCCAGAAGCTCTCCAAACCCAGTTTCCTTGGGGTTTTATGGAAGTTTCATGCTGCCAGAATTCCTTTCCCCAGAGTATAGGACAGAATCCACTCTGGTGAGGGTCTTAAGACCGACAATCAGAAAGGCAGGGAAAGGTTAGAGTCTTGCTTCGGGCAGGTGAAAGGAGGACAGGATAATGTCAGAGATTCTGTTTCCTGAGGCCTGCCCCTGTAGCCTAATGCACCCATCATTATAACACAAAACTGTAACAAGGGCTATGGGTGTCATAAGCCAGAAACCCTGGATGGAAACCTATATATAGGTTATGGTATATATATTATATATATGTGTGTGTATACAATATATATAATATACACGTACATTTATATATTGTAAAATATATAGTGTGTATATACATGTATCTCCTGTTATTGTGTGCATATATATACATACATATATATACACACACACACACATACTATATATATATATATATATATATAGTGTGTGTAATAACACCACAGGCCAACCCCTGGTTTTCTACCATGGATCCTTTACATCAATAAATAAATATACACAGTCATTAACAATTAGTTCAGTCCATCATGTTGTATGGCTGTCTCCCAGAGTGAGACCACTCACGTTTGTAGACTTTCTTTCAATTTTGTCAGGTTCCAAAAGCAAGAGTCATTTTGGCAGATCTATAGCTTCATCCATTCAAGCATCTGGAATAATTGAGCTAAGAGACAACGTCATCTCTTGCTCTGAGACTCTGTCAAGTTGTTAATATTAGATTTTCCTCAATTTGTTACCCATTGATTCATTTCTTTACCCTCAGCTATTCTCTTTTCATCCATTTGTCATTTATTTTTATTCACACTTTTCCACATTTGGAAGGGACATTAGGCTCAGCCACTGTGCTGGACCAGATTGCTGATAGCAATACTAGTCCAGCAAGTGCCTTCCTCTCAGTCCACTCACACTCAGTTAGGATAAGGTTACATAGGCACAGAACTAGTAGGCTGTTTCTGCCACCAGACGATATAGTTGTATTCACTGTTAGCCCTAATTTTGACGGATGGGGTAAAGGCACAATCCACTCTCATCAGGCCCCTAGAAATTCTGACATAAGTTTTAAAAATAGTTAGTTTCTTGCTTAGAAACCATCCCTTCTTCCACCACTTGTAGTTGCAGCCCTGATCTTAGGACCACTGCATGAGATACGGAGAAAACGAAATGTTTTTGAGGTGATTTGAGGAAGGAAGGAAAAAATTATAGTCATTATACCAGTGTACTAGAAGAATAATTATTGAGTTACTTTATGATTACTCCATATCTGCAGAGCAGGGATGTTCCTGTTTTAGAGACAGAAGTAGAGGTTTGGCTTTCTGTAAGCTACCAAATGATTCCTTTAACTCTGTCTTAGAAAATAGTTGTATGTCCATCTACCACTGAAGAAGACATTTTGACAGAATCATCTAATTAGAATGGCTTGTATTATGAGAAAGTAAAGTTTCTGCACTGTTTTGATGTTTAGATTCCATACTAAAATGTTTGTGGTACTGCTGTCTTATTCTTGGCAGGCCAGTAATAATATAGTCTTGGTACACTTTGCAACATTGATTTTTTAAAAATATTTTTCCAGCTTAGGATCCATTTTTATATTAAGATTGATGAAGGCTGGGAAGAGAGAGCAAGAACAAAAGTCAGGGAATAAAAGAATAAGACACTATCTGCCTGCTCTTCTAGTTTCTGCAGGTTAAGCTCTACTTCTAAATATTGGGCCCTATAAGGTTCTCCTTTTACAACAAAGTAAACTAAATTCCCTACTTATTTTAACTATCTTGAGTGAGTCTCTGTTTCTTGGAGTCATGTGATTGCTAACTTGAATTATAACGATTATACATTTTGTATTTAGTTAGGTGTCTGATTTAAGCTATGCAAGACATCTTTAGAAATATAAAAGCATGCTATTATAATATGGGAAGTTTAAATTATACATACCTGTATTATTTTCCTACTGCAGCTCTAACAAATTACAACAAATTTTATACCTCAAAACCAACAGAAATGTATTATCTTACCGTTTTGGAGGTCAGAATTCAAAATGGGTCTTACAGGATTGAGATCAGTTTGTCATCAGGGCTATCATTTTTTCTGGAGGCTCTAGGAGAGAATCGATTATTTGCCTGTCACACCTGCTAGAGATCACCTGCACTCCTTGGCATTGGCATCCTCATTCCAACCTCTACTTTAATCATCACATCTCCTTCTCTAATTCTGACTCTTCTTTCTTTTATTAAGATCTTTGTGATTACTTTGGATTTAACTAAATAATCAAGAATAGCCTCTTCATCTCAAGATCCTTAACTTAATTACATCTGAAAAGTCCTTTGTCATTTAAGGTAATGTATTCACAGGTGTTGGAGATTAGGTCACGTACATCTTCAGGGAAATATTCTACCTGCCACATCATCCATGATAATAATACTTTAATGGTTTTGATTTACCTTTTCACTCATGCTTATATGCTTAATATTAATAAAATGATTAGAATTCATAGTAATAAATTTAAACTTTATAATGTTTACAAATTTCGCTTAAGTCTTAGAAGTGATGTAGGTATAAAAAAGATAAAGGTTTACCTTTAGCTGTATTTTGATGATAAACCTTTATTAAATATTTGATAATTATTCAAAGAAAAAAATAGTGGCTGGATGCAGTTAACACTGTGATCTCAATTATATGTCCTAAAGACACTTTTAAAATGTGACATTTGGGCCAGGCGCGGTGGCTCACACCTGTAATCCCAGCACTTTGGGAGGCTGAGGTGGGCGGATCACGAGGTCAGGAGTTTGAGACCAATCTGGCCAACATAGTGGAACCCTGTCTCTACTAAAAATACACAAAAAATTAGCCGGCTGTGGTGGTGTGCGCCTGTAATCCCAGCTACTCAGGAAGCTGAGGCAGGAGAATCGCATGAACCCAGGAGGCGGAGGTTGTAGTGAGCCAAGACCGTGCCACTGCACTCCAGCCTGGGCGACAGAACGAGACTCCGTCTCTAAAAAAATAAAAATAAAAATAAAAATAAAATGTGACATTTGTTGCTCCAAATAAATTAATATTTGATTTCCAGGTAGAAATTTAGAATTTTGGTCCCAAAGTGTTTCACACATCTGCAATAACTTGAAATGTATAATATGAATATTGACATTAGCCCAAAAAGACATATATTTTAAGCATCATCCAGGCATCTCTTGTCTTCAATAAAAACATAAAGTAGTATCCCTACTTTAACTTAAAGATCCATTAATAATTTAAACTGCATTTTATTTAGTAATTTTTGAACTTTTAATTATATCCACAATTTACTTGTCTTTCATAACTTTTGAATAATAATTATGCGTTTTTAATAGAGTATTGCCCTATGAAAATATTAAAGGAAAGAAAATATTTCTTCTTCCTAAAGGTCTGCAGGTACTTATTTATTTAAAGTAATGAAGTTGTTAGCTGGGGATTTCAGCCAATGTATAAGAGAAACTCTGAGGTTTCATTTATTTTAAATGTGCTACTTCAAGGAAAATAAAGGATAAAAAAATCAAAGAGTATCTAAGGGGTATATATATCTTTGTGTGTGTGTATGTATGTATATCTATATATGTATATATACACAAACATGTATATATACATATATAGATATACACATATCTATACATATATATACAAACAAACACACACACAGTTATTGAGAGTGACTTAGATATTTTCATTTCACCAAATGAAAACAGAACAATAGAGGATTATATCTCATCGGAATTTAAAATAGACTTTTTATATATTCTGAAGGTAACAGAATTGTAATTACTTGCATTTTAAATTAATTGATATTGCTTTTTATTAGTTCACAGTCTAATATGGATCGAAGTGGAAAGAAAACGTGGAAATTCAAATATCCTTCTGAAGCTGACTATGCTAAATATCATGCAAACAGAGGAAAGCTAGGTATCTCGGTTCATTTTTATATCATATCATATTTATATATAATATATATATTATATATTATAATATATATAATATATAATATAATACATATAAATTATATATATATAATTTATATATATATAAATTTTATGTATAAATTATATATTATATATTTATATATATTATATATAAATTATATATATTATATAACTATATAATATATATTATAATATATATAAAATCTATAATATAATATATATTATAATATATGTAAAATATATAATATAATATATATTATTATATATAAATAATATATAATATATATAATTATATATAATATATATTATATAATTATATAATAATATATATTATATATTATTATATATTATAATATATGTTATATATAACTATATATATTATATATATAACATATATGTATATATATCATATATATAACATATATGTATATATATCAAACACTTATTGCTATAACATGAATGCCCCTGCCAAAACTCATGAGGTAGGGCCTTTAAGAAGTAATTAGGTCATAAGGTCCCCATTCTCATTAATGAATTAATGAAGTTATTGAGGAAATGGGTTAGTTGCTGTGAGAGTGGGTTGTTATAAAGCAAGTGCAGCCCCTCATGTTTTCTCCTTCTTTGCATGCCCTGGCTTACCCTCTCACCTTCCACCACTGGATAACACAGCAAGGAGGTTTTCACCAGATGCCAGTGCCATGTTCTTGGACTCCTCAGCCTTCAGAACTGTGAGAAATAAGTCTGTGTCCTTTATAAACTACTCAGTCTCACATATTCTGTCATAGCGACAGAAAATGAACCGAGATACCTAGCTTTCCTCTGTTTGCATGATATTTAGCATAGTCAGCTTCAGAAGGATATTTGAATTTCCACGTTTTCTTTCCACTTCGATCCATATTAGACTGTGAACTAATAAAAATCAATATCAATTAATTTAAAATGCAAGTAATTACAATTCTGCTACCTTCAGAATATATAAAAAGTCTATTTTAAATTCCGATGAGATATAATCCTCTATTGTTCTCTTTTCATTTGGTGAAATGAAAATAAGGCACTCTCAATAACTGTGTGTGTGTTTGTGTTTATATATATGTATAGATATGTGTATATCTATATATGTAGATATACATATGTTTGTGTATATATACATATATAGATATACATACATACACACACAAAGATATATATACCCCTTAGATACTCTTTGATTTTTTTATCCTGTATTTTCCTTGAAGTAGCACATTTAAAATAAATTAAACCTCAGAGTTTCTCTGATATTATATATATTATATATAAAATATATATAATTATATGTAATTATATATTATATATATTATATATAAAATATATATAATTATATGTAATTATATATTTTATATATTATATATATTATATATATTATATATTATATATATTATATATTATATATTATATATTATATATATTATATATTATATATTATATATTATATATTATATATTATATATATTATATATTATATATTATATATATTATATATTATATATTATATATATTATATATTATATATAATATATATTATATATTATATATATTTTATTTATGATATTTATATATATTATATATATTTTATATATAATATATATTATATTATATATATTTTATATATAATATATATTATATTATATATTATATATTTATATATATTATATATATTGTATATTATAATATATAAAATAATATATAATATATAATATATAATATATATATTATATATGAAATATGTAATATATATATTTCTTTACTTTATGGTTTACTTCTGATCTCACCTATAGCAATATTGGACAGTAACCTGCACACTCTTAGGGTGCCAAGGCAAAAGCAAATTGGCCTCTTTTGCTTTTCTGCCTTAAGCCTTCTTTCTGCCTTCTTTCAGGTCCGATCAGGGGTTTTAATGTCATCAAAGAAAAACTTTAACTGGTGGGGGATGGGGGTCTGTATTAAAAAGTGCCAGCCACCTATCCCATGGGGGAAGCCAATTCTTTAGTTCACTCTACATTGTCACTCATAGGGTTTACAGGGAGACTGAGCCTATCTGTCTACAGGAAAAATCAGCTCCTTATTGGTTTTCCTCTTTTTCACTATTATACTCCTTTCTCCTTTGTTTATGTTTCTGTAGATAACCTGTCAATAAATCTCCTCTTCCCAAATAATTGTCTCATGATCTGCTATCAGGGAGACTCAATTCAAGATATACACTCAGTTTTATCTATATATCTCTATTGTTTAAAAAACTCTTATATTTATGATTGCCCTCTGAAGAATGTGGGATGACACGGGGTTTGGGAGATAAGCTTTGGAATACTTGTCCACTCCATTTTACTGACAAGAAAAAAGCTTTAGGTAATCTGAGTGATTCTCCCAAAATCACACAGCTAATAAGTGGCAAAGTCTTCTTTGATGTGCTAAAGAGGATTTTGGAAGCATAAAATAGAATGAATTGTTTCCCAAATGAGTTCTGTGTATTTTAATTTTATGTGTAACCTCAATTTAACGTGTCAGATCTTGCTAGCTTAAAACATCTCGGCTAAACTCCATTAATTTTTGTTCCATTAATTTATGCTTTGTGATAACTTGAAAGCATAAGAATAAAATTTATTTTCTCTCTAAAAATATTATCTAAGAGTATACATTTTAAATCAGACCAAATCATTTCCTCAATCTCCTTCTTGGTTTTTCTACAGCCATCATCCTTTAATGTTCTATGATACACAATAAAAGACAAAGAACATTAGGCACACTAAATCTTAGGATGCCTTATTGATCTCATAATGCCATCCAGCATCATAAAATTAAACTCTGGCCCATCCTAAGTTATATTACTAGAAGAAAATGTTTATACTTTTTTTTCTGATATTTAATTTTTATTTAATATACACTTAGGCAGCACTAACTGTATGCCAAGCATTATTCTAAATGTTTTACAAATAATAACTCATTTAATTCTTTTAAAAAAATATTTATTCATTTATTTAAAACAATTACAAATTTATTACATTTTAATATAAACATTTTAATGAAAGATAAATACATTTTCAAACTTCCTCCAAAGATGAGAAGATTGGCATTGTTTTTTTTAAAACAAGAATTTTATTTTATTTTTTATTTCAATAGGCTTTTGGGAAACAGGTGGTGTTTGGTTACATGAATAAGTTCTTTAGTGGTGATTTCTGAGATTTTGGTGCACCCATCACCTGAGCAGAATATATTGTGCCCAATCTGTAGTGTTTTATCCCTTGCCACCCCTCCACCTTTTCCCCTGAGTCCCTAAAGTTGAATGTATCTTTCTTATGCCTTTGTGTCCTCATAGCTTAGCTCCCACATATGAGTGAGAAGATGCAATGTTTGGTTTTCCATTCCTGAGTTACTTCACTTAGGATAGTAGTCTCCAATTCCATCCAGGTTGTCACAAGTGCCATTATCTTGTTCCTTTTCGTGGCTGAGTAGTATTCCATTTTATATATATATTAATATATATAATATATATATTAATATATAATTATATAAATATATATAATATAATATATGTTATATATTTTTAATTATATAATTTTATATAATTATATATTATAATTATATATAATTATAATTATATAAAATTATATAATTATATAAATCTATTATATTATATATATTATATTATATATATTTATATATACAATATATTTAATATATAATATAATATATATTATATATATTTTATATATATTTTATATATATATATTATATATATATAATATATATACACCACATTTTCTTTATCCATTTGTTGATTGATGGGCATTTGGGCTGGTTTTGCAGTTGCAAATTGTGCTGCTATAAACATGTGTGTGCAAGTATCTTTTTTGTATAACGACTTCTTTTTCTCTGGCTAGACACCTAGTAGTGGGATTGCTGGATCAAACAGTAGATCTACTTTTAGTTCATCAAGGAATTTCCACACTGTTTTCCATAGTGGTTGTACTAGTTTAGATTCCCATCAACAGTGTAAAAGTATG
Organism: Homo sapiens; assembly: GCF_000001405.40. Taxonomy (NCBI): domain Eukaryota; kingdom Metazoa; phylum Chordata; class Mammalia; order Primates; family Hominidae; genus Homo; species Homo sapiens. The sequence continues at coordinate 35,598,274 of NC_000023.11, read as the reverse complement.
CTCTTTTGACTGCATCCACACCAATATCTATTATTTTTTGATTTCTTGATTATGAATATTCTTGCAGGAGTGAGTTGGTATCACATTGTGGTTTTGATGTACACTTCCCTAATAATTAGTGATGTTGAACATTTTTCCATATGCTTCTTGGCCATTTGTATATCTTCTTTTGAGAACTGTCTATTCATGTCCTTAGCCCACTTTTTGATGAGATTTTTTTTTTTTCTTGCCTGTTCATTTGAGTTCTTTGTAGATTCTGGATATTAGTCCTTTGTCAGATGTATAGATTGTGAAGATTTTCTACCACTCTGTTAGTTGTTTGTTAACTGTGCTAATTATTTCCTTTGCTGTGCGGAAGCTTTTAAGCTTAATTAAGTCCCATCTATTTGTCTTTGTTTTAGTTGCATTTGCTTTTGAGTTTTTGGTCATGAAGTCTTTGCCTAAGCCAATGTCTAGAAGGCTTTTTCTGATTTTATCCTCTAGAATCTTTGTTGTTTCAGGTCTTAAATTTAAGTCTTTGATCCATCTTGAGTTCATTTTTGTATAAGGTGAGAGGTGAAGATCCAGTTTCATTCATTTACATGTGGCTTGCCAATGATCCCAGAACCATTTGTTGAATAAGGTGTCCTTTCCCCACTTTATGTTTTTGTTTGCTTTATTGAAGATCAGTTGGCTGTAAGTATTTGGCTTTATTTCTGGGCACTCTATTCTGTTTCTTTGGTCTATGTACCTATTTTAATACCAGTATACCATACTGTTTTGGTGACTGTGGCCTTATAATATAGTTTGAAGTTGGGTAGTGTGATGCCTCCAGATTTGTTCTTTTTGCTTAATCTTGCTTTGGCTATGCAGGCTCTTTATTGGTTCCATGTGAATTTTAGGATTGATTTTTTTCTAGTTCTGTGAAGAATGCTGGTGGTATTTTAATGAGAATTGCATTGAATTTGTGGATTTCTTTTAACAGTATGGTCATTTTTACAATATTGATTCTACGCATCCATGAGCATGGGATGTGTTTCCATTTCTTTGTGTCATCTGTGATTTCTTTCAGCAGTGTTTTGTAGCTTTCCTTGTAGAGGTCTTTTACATCCTTGGTTAGGTATATTCCTTTGTGAAAGAAGTTGAGTTCTTAATTTGATTCTCAGCTTGGTCACTGTTGGTGTATAGCAGAAATACTGATTTGTGTACATCAATTTTGTAACCTGAAACATTGCTGAATTCATTTACCAGTTCTAGGAGCTCTTTGGATGAGTCTTTAGAGTTTTCAAGGTATACAATCATATTATCAGCAAACAGTGACAGTTTGACTTCCTCTTTACCAATTTGGATGCCCTTTATTTCTTTCTCTTGTCTGATTGCTCTGGCTAGAACTTCCAGAACTATGTTGAGTAGAAGTGGTGAAAGTGGGCATCCTTGTCTTTTTTCAGTTCTCAGGAAAAATGCTTTCAACTTTTCCCCATTCAGTATAATGTTGGCTGTGAGTTTGTTGTAGATGGCCTTTATTACCTTAGGGTATGTCCTTTCCACGCCGATTTTTCTGAGGGTTTTAATCATAAAGGGATGTAGGAATTTGTCAAATGCTTTTTATGCATCTATTGAGATGATCATGTGATTTTTGTTTTTAATTCCATTTATTTGGTGTATCACATTTATTGACTTACATATGTTAAACCACCCCTGCATCACTGGTGAAAAACCCACTTGGTCATGGTGGATTATCTTTTTGATATGCTGTTAGATTTGGTTCACTAGTATTTTGTTGAGGATTTTTGCATCTGTGTTCATCAGGGATATTGGTCTGTAGTTTTCTTTTTTTATTATGTCCTTCTCTAGTTTTGGTATTAGGGTGATACTGCTTCATAAAATGATTTAGTGAGGATTCCTTCTTTCTCTATCTTTTGGATAGTGTCAATAGAATTGGTACCAATTCTTCTTAATGTATGATTGAATTCAGCTGTGAATCCATCTGGTCCTGGGCTTTTCTTTGTTGGCAATTTCTTTATTACCATTTCAATATCACTGCTTGTTATCAGTCTGTTCAAAGATTCTATATCTTTCAGTTTTAATGTATGTATTAGTCTGTTCTCACACTACTAATAAAGACATACCTGAGACTAGGTAATTTATAAAGGAAAGAGGTTTAACTGACTCACAGTTCAGCATGGCTGAGGAGGCCTCAGGAAACTTAAAATGATGGCAGAAGGGGAAGCAAATACATCCTTCTTCACAGGGTGGCAGGAAGGAGAAGAATGAGTGCCCAGTGAAGGGGAAAACCCCTTATAAAACCATCAGATCTCGTGAGAAATAACTCACTATTACAACAACAGGATGGGGGAAACTGCCTCCATGATTCACTTATCTCTACCTAGTCCCTCCCATGACGTGTGGGAATTATGGGAACTACAATTCAAGATGAGATTTGGGTAGGGACATAGCCAAACCATATTATTCCACCCCTTGCCACTCCCAAATCTCATGTTCTCACAATTCAGTACACAATCATGCCCTTCCAACAGTCTCCCGAAATCTTAACTCATTTCAGCACTATCACAGAAGTCTAAGTCCAAGATCTCATTTGAG